>NC_000004.12:135285017-135588047 GCF_000001405.40 Homo sapiens
AGGGTATATATTTCACTTTGCATTCCACGTGTTTGGCAATGTCATATTTTCATTACCATTTGATTAAAAATATTTTCAAATTTCCATTAAAAATTTATGAATTAACAAAATAAGCAACATTTAATCTTCAAGTATTTGGAGATTTTTGGTTATTTTTGTTATTGAATTTTAGCTTAATTCTTTATGTAGTCAGAGAACATATTTTGTATTATTTTCATCATTTAATGTTTGTTTTTAATGGTAACAATTTGCCCTACCCCCTTGAATAAAAGAATGCTGCAAAATGTGTTATTTAATAGAATTGATTTTCCCCCTAGAGCACAAAATATTGAAGTATGAACAAAGTAACAAGATCTGTTTTATACATGCAATTAAATTACACTATCAGTCCAGGGAGTGGTAGAATAGGTATAATAAAACAACTAGATGTGCAGAAAAATACAACAAAGAACTCTGACTCTCTACATAATTGTTTCTTCTAGGTGACTGCTGTGAGAATGACTGTTCCTGGAAGCATTAAGTCCCAAATGTACTCATCTCCTTGCTTGCATTATGTCCAGCCCCAGGGCTAATTTCAACAAGACCTGCACATTATTTGGTGTTATTTCCAGTCTTCTTTCTATTTGTTTTTCTTGTCTATTCAAAGAAGAATTTGCACAGCCTGAATTAGTGAAGAGAATGAAGGTGGAGAGGCAAATATCCAATATTAGATAACTCACTCACAGGCCGATTGGATTAAACATCCTTGACATTGGACTTAATAAAAAGAAAACAGGGATCTGCACTTAAATGCAGGAATGAACATGTAAGTGAAGCCATAAAATATTCATCTTTTGTAATTGGTCCCACTGAAAAAAATATGCTTAAGTTCCTAGTGTTTTTGCCATGATACATATAGCTGGTGACAGATACAATAAAGTGACTGTGATCCTTCACTTCATTTTTTAACTTTTTTAGGAGTACATTTGCAGGATTCTTATATAGGTAAACTAGGTGTCCCAGGTGTATAGTGTACAGATTATTTAGTCACCTGAGTAATAAGCATAGTAACCAATAGGTGTTTTTGTTTTTTTGTTTTTTTTTTGACCCTCTATATTTTTAAAGTAGGAAGCTCGTGAGCTGAGCTTGTAGGGAAGCTCATAGCCAATGGCTGAGCATGATGCTGATAATGGAGCCTAGTGATTTCTACAAACTTGAGATTCCTCCTTTGGGCAATCTTTATTCTGGACAATTGGTTCAAGTGAAGCTTCATCAGAGCCACATTGCAGTCTGTGTCACTCTCTGCTCAACTCTCTTCTTCCACATTATGGACCGAATTATCTCCTCGCAAGTTTATATGTTAAAGTCTTATTCCTCAGTACTTCAGAAAGTAACTGTGTTTGGAGATGGGGTCTTTAAAAAGGTAATTCAGTTCAAATAAGGCCTTTAGGGTAGAGCCTAATCCAGTATGACTGGTGTCCTCATAGGAAAAGGAAGAGACACCAGGATACATTCTCTGTGAGAAAAGACCATGTGAGGACATAATGAATAAGTGGCCATCTGCAAGCTGAGGAGAGAGGTCTCAGGGAAAACTAACCTTGTCAGCACCCTGATAGAGGATTTCTAGCCTCCATAACTGTGAGAAAATAAATTTCTGTCATTTAGGCAGAACTTTGCTTTTTTTTATTTTTCCCGCATCTGCAAGTGTCTGCCTGCATTCCTTTGCTTAGGGCCTCTTGCTCCAACTTCAAAGCTAGCAGCACAGCATCTTAAAGTTTCCCCTTAACTCTAATTCTCCTACCTCTCCAATTCACATATAAGGAGTTCAAGACACTTAGGGAGCATTTCTGCAAAGTCCCTTTTGCCAGATAAATTAGCATATTAAAAGATTCCAAAGATTAGGATTAGCACATGGACACCTTTGGAAGAGTGTAATTCTGTTTACCACATAGACGTTACCTCTCCAAATTAACCATTTGCACTCCTATCTGCAATAGGACCTTCACATCTTAAAAAATCATCTCTTATTAAGTGAAAAAATATTTGTTCTATAGAATAATATATAAATATATATTTATATATTATTCTATATATAATAATATATAGAATAGAATAATATATAATAGAATAATATATAAATATACTTTCTCTAGGTAAAGTATTCTGAAAATAATAGGAACTCTTGAAGTGGGCACTTATGCAGCTTTAAACATTTACATAGTCAATAATATCATTGGAGTTTCTATGATAGATAATAAATATCTGTAAATATTATGTGCAAATTACATATTAAAATCAACTTTCTTAAGAAATAGTTTATTAATTAAACATGTACTTTCCTTATTTTCAAACTTATAGCAGCCCAAAGGGTTTACTGCAAAATAAAATAGTATTGTTAAACAATAAAATAAATGAAAAATCTTGATTTATCTAGAGAACAAATGATTTTTAAACATTACTGTCACATGAGGTCTAGACTTTCTGCTCTTTCTTTGCTTCTGTTTCCTGCACATATTTTATATTCACCCTAACTTGTTATTTCTCACATTCTCTCTGATCTTTTTGCCTAGATTACCCAGAGGGTTTGGACATCTCATAAGCCACAGGGCAGGCCACAGAAAAATGGCTGCTAGTTCAAGACACAGGCAGGGCAACAACATTAAATATTCCTACCATGATATCCATCTAGAAGGAGTTCATTCTCCCTAGCAGCTTATAAATACAAGCACACTTTATTTGATTAGTAAGTACTTTAAATTCTATTAGTTATATCATATCTAGAAAACAAAGAATTAGCACTGATTTTTTTTTTTTTTTTCTGAAATTAACTTCGTGTTAGGGTGAGAAACTGGTTCACTACAAATACCTCTCAGGTATTACCAGTAACAATCATGGGACAATTGGAAGTCTACTAAATTTATAGTGCCTTATTTTATTTTTTATTTTAATAAAATCTTGTTAAAGAATAAAAATCTAGAACACATTTAGAACTGGACAGGAGGCTAGGTCAAGATAAACCTAGCCTACCTGCCTAAATACCCTTCTTATGCTCCGAAGTCTTCTCTTGGTTGATGCAGATCTCCTGTAATTTTCATAGACTACACTCACCCACCACAGTATAAAACCTGTTCCTGCAGTTCTGCCGAGATTCCATTTCTTTATAAATAACTGATGTGTCACAGGATCAAGAGACAATAAGTTGGCCATCTATGCCTTATTTAAATTAGTACCTCCTTTAAATATGTAAAAGTCTTTCATGCTTCTAGCCTACGAATGATTTTTCTTCTGGTGATCAGTTCTATCTTACAAGTGTATCTGTGGTAGAGGGGAGAGATGTACAGGCATATTCCTCTTGTTCTTTTACAGTCATTTTTACAGTCATATGTTATTTTAAATGGAAAATTATTAATTTCTACCCAACTTGGCGTTACTTTAATGAATTTATCATTGTGTATATCAATGGCTTAAGAAAGTATGGCTTAATCATATGCAACTTTTCCTGTGAAAATATGTCCAAGCTCTCTTTTACAAAATAATGTGCAATAATTTTACCTATTATGCAAATATCTGGCTGCCGTTTTATTTATCGTTGAACAGAAGTAATTCAGATTGCTTCTGTGGATATATCCAGGACATTCAAATAGTACCTTGCCATGAGCGCTTTCTTTGTATCTTTGGGTGTTATATAATAGTATCAAGTTTTGGGCTGGGTGTGGTGGCTCATACCTGAAATCTCAGCACTTTGGGAAGCCAAGGTGGGCAGATATCTTGAGGTCAGGAGTTTGGGACAAGCCTGGCCAACATGGCAAATCCCGATCTCTATTAAAAATATAAAAATTAGCTAGGTATGGTTGAACACGCCTGTAATCCCAGCTACTGGGGAGACTGAGACACAAGAATCACTTGTACCTGGGAGGTGGAAGTTGCAGTGAGACAAGATCACACCACTCCACTCCAGCTTGGATGACAGAGTGAGACACTGTCTCAAAAAAAAGAAAAAAACCCGTCTCTACTAAAAATACAAAAAAAATTAGCCGGGCGTAGTGGCGGGCGCCTGTAGTCCCAGCTACTTGGGAGGCTGAGGCAGGAGAATAGCATGAACCCGGGAGGCGGAGCTTGCAGTGAGCCGAGATCCCGCCACTGCACTCCAGCCTGGGCGACAGAGCGAGACTCCGTCTCAAAAAAAAAAAAAAGAAAAAAAAAATCAAAAATTGGTTCTTAGATATTGAAAGTGACTAAGACAGATTCAGTTTCTCAGAGTAGTTCTCTCCTTGGACAAATTTCAGTTCAGAATGTAAAATATATAACAAATTATCAGAAACATTGCCCTCTAATTTTTTATACTAATTTGATGAAAGAAAAGTAAAACCTGTTATGTTTTTTTCATATAACTCATTCACATATTTTTAAAATATTTTAAATAGCCTTTAGATATATATATGTAAAAATGTATATATATATGTAAAAATTTGTATATATTATATATATATGTAAAATATGTATACCTATTTTAGATATGAGCAAACTGGAATTCAGAGACCTTATTGAATTTCCTTTGGCCAGTAGCTCCAGTTGAAAGACTAGAAACAAATTTAGAATTGCAAAGTTTACAGCCTTGTGATATTTACTGTGTCACAGTAAGGAGATAACACATTAGAGTGTGTCATTAAGCTACATATAGGTATAATGAGATGATAATCTCTAAATGTTTAAGAAATAACAGTGGAAAAAGCAGTATCGAAAACTATCCTTATCTTTGACAAGGAATTGATATCACAAGCTTAGAGGGGCAGAAATTAATGGCCTACTTAATGGTTAAGAAGCTTCTTTATCTATGTGGTTCTTAGAACATGCAGACTTAAAGGATAAAAAACAGCAACAAAAGCAACAAGAACAAAAAGAAGAAAAATAAAACCACTACTTTTTTGGAAACCACGGCAACATCTCCTAAAAGTCATTGGAAAATTAGGCCACGGTTTCTTGGAAAGAAGGTCAGTGTTGTAAGACATAGAATCCTCATGAAGCTAATTTAGAAATGTCTTGCTTTTCTGAAACATTTTACTAAGAAACGACAGAGAGTATGCCAAGATTTATCAAATCCATCAACCTCTACCCCCTTCTGACCAGTGCAAGAGCAAGTGATATTGCTAAAAGAAACCTGCAGTTTTATCTAGTAAATTGAATTTATTTATAGGGGACACAGATGGTTTTTTTATCTCATTTTCCTATTGAATAGTATGACATTAAAAGTGAAAAGAGTGTATGAAAAAATGAAGCATTGGCTAGGTAGATGGTGCTGAAGAACTGAATTTGGTTTGAGAGACTTGGCAGGAATTGGGCACTTCTCACATGGCCCGGGACGAATGGATCTGGCAGGAGTTGGTGATCTGATTAAAAACATTTTCAGCTAAAATGTGGAAAGAAGGGAGAAAGTGTAAAACTTAAAATGAAGACATTCCAGGGTTAAAAATCAGAAATGTGTACAATTTGCCTGTTAAATTGTCAAAAAATTATTGACAAAAGGTTGTGAAATACCTATGATTTCAGATGCTTGTAAAAAATGCAGAGTGTAAGAGTCACAAATAATATATAAAACTAGCTCTATCAGTTAAGACTGATTTAACTAAAATATACAGCAGATTATATCAGGTTAGTATTAACTAAACACATATGTTGAACTATATACATAATTGTTTTAAGTTCCAATATTTTAAAATGTGCCATTTTAGAATCAAGGAGAATTTCATTAATATTGCAACTATTTATTAATGTAACTTATATCACCTTACATGTCTTATTTCAGCCTAATTTTCCTAAATATTCTGTGCAGGATATTTTAACTCCACTTCTGCTATTTACCATTTATGTAAATCTGGATATATTTTTATCTTCCCAGAGAAGGAGGTTTATAACCAAATGTTAACTCCAACCTTACTGAGGGACCTTGAGAAAGTTTCTCTTATTTTTAGTTTATAAGACTCAGTGTATTTATCTGTCAAATAGGAAGGAATACTCTATTTCATTACTGTTGTCATAAGGATTAAGCAGAAATGATTTTGTAACAAAGCACTTAACATGGCTTCTAGGATATAGAAAGCACAGATACCCTACAACTGCTTCATCTTCTTACCCAAAATCAGGCCCATCTAGAAGTCTGGGAGTTATTCCTGACTATACCTTCTAACTCATCAAATATATTTCTAATTGATGCATAATAGGTATTCACAGTTTTGAATACATTCAAATAATTTGTAAGAACAAATCAGTGCACTTGGGATGTCATCACCTCAAATATCTGTCTATTTTCATTGTTGTTGTTGTTGTTTGAGACAGGGTCTTGCTCCGTCACCTAGGCTGGAGTGCATTGCTGTGATCTCGGCTCACTGTAACCTCTGCCTCCCATACTCAAGCAAAACTCCCAGCCTCTCAACTCAGCCTCCCAAGTAGCTGGGACTGCAGGCATGCACCACCACACCTGGTTAATTTTTGTATTTTTCATAGATAAGAGGGTTTCGCCATGTTGCACAGGCTGGTTTCAAACTCCTGGGCTCAAGTAATCTGCTTGCCTTGGCCTCCCAAAGTGCTGGGATTACAGATGTGAACCACCTTGCCCTGTCTTTTCTTTCTGATAGAAATGTTTCAGTTATTCTCTTCTAGCTCCTTATATATCCTGGTTATTAATTCCATGTCAAAGGGGGTGGTTTGTAAAGATTTTCTCCCATTTAATGCATTGTCACAATACATTGTTGATTGTTTCCTTTGCTGTGTAGAAGCTTTTTAGCTTGAGGTAATCTTATATATCTATTGTTGCTTTAGTTGCCTGTGCTTTTGAGGTCTTACACAGAAATATTTGCCCAGACCAGTTCTGTGGAGCATTTCCCCAATGTTTTCTTCTGGTAGTTTTATAGTTTCAGGTCTTATATTTAAATCTTTGATCTATTTCAATTTGATTTTTGTGTATGGTGAGAGATAGGGAGTCTAGTTCATTCTTCTGCATATGGATATCCAGTTTTCCCAGCACCATTTATTGAAGAGACTGCCCTTTCCCCAGAGTATTTCCTTGACAACTTTGTTGAACATAAGTTGGCTGTAAATGCTTGGATTTATATCTGGGTTCTCTATTCTGTCCCATTGGTTTACGAGTCTGTTTTATGCCAGTTTCATGCTGATTTGGTTACTATAGCTTTGTCACAAATTTTGAAGTCAGTTAATGTGATGCCTCCAGCTTTGTTCTTTTTGCTCAAGCTATTCAAGGTCTTCATGGTTTGATATGAATTTTAGGGTTTTTTTTTCTATTTCTTTGAAGAATGTCATTGGTATTTTAATAGGAGTTGTATTGAATATATTAATTGCTTTTTATAGTATTATTATTTTTAACAGTATTAGTTCCATGAGCATGGAATATCTTTCCATTCATTTGTGAAATTTTCAATTGCTTTTATCAGTGTTTTATAGTTTTCCTTGTATAGAATTTTCACTTCTTTTTTTAAATTGATTCTTAGGAATTTTACATTCTCTTTATCTATTGTAAACAGGATTCTTTTCTGATTTATTTTTCAGATTATTCACTGTTAGTATGTATAAATGCTACTGATATTGGTATGTTAATTTTGTGTCTTGCAACATTATTGAATTTATCTTTTCTAAGAGTTTTTTGGTGGAGTCTAAATTTTTCAAAGAATAAGATTATGTCGTTTGTGAGCAAGGATAAATTAATTGACTTCTTTTTTTTTTCCAATTTGTATGCCCTTTAATTTAACTTCTTTTTTCTCAATTTGGATGTCCTTTATTTATTTCTCCTGCCTACTTGCTCTGACCAGGACTTGAGGTGCTATTTTGAATTAATGTGGTAGAAGTGGACATTCTTTTCTTGTTCCTGATCCTAGACAAAAGGTCTTCAATTTTCTACATTAATTACAATGTTAGCTGTGCTTTTTTCATATATGGCCTTAATTATTTTGGAGTATGTTCTTCTGTACCTAGTTTAACGAGCATTTTTATCATAAAGGAATGTTAAATTTTATTGAATCTTTTCTGCCTCAATTTAGATGATTACATAGCATTGTACTTGGTTCTGTAAATGTGATGTATATCTTTATTGATAAGCATATATTGAATCATCCTTGCATTAGTGAGATGAATTCCACTTGATCATGTGAATGATCTTTTTAATGCGTAATGTGTTCAATTAGCTAGTATTTTGTTGAGAACTTTTGCATCTATGTTCATTAGTGATATTGGCCTGTAGTTTTTCTTCCTTGTTGTTATTTCCTTGCTTAGGTTTGGTATCAGGATAATGCTGGCCTCATAGAATAAGTTTGAATGTTGTCTTTCCTTATCAATTTTTTAGAAGAATTCGAGTAGAATTGGTCTTAATTATACTTTAAATGTTAGTAGAATTCAGCAGTGAAGCCATCAGGTCCTAGACTTTCATTCGATGAGAGATTTCTATATTTCTTAAAGATCACTGAGCTTCCTTAAAACTTCAGTTTTAAATTCTTTATCAGAGAGCTGAAATTTTACCATCTCATTGGGGTTAGTCACTGATTTCTTGCTTTGTCCATTTGTGGACATCATGGTTCCTTGTTTGCTGCAGTTTCTTGTGGATGTATACATATGTCTTCACATTGAAGGATTAGTTATTTATTCCAATATTCTCTGGTTTGTTTTGGTTTTTATTTGATATATTTGCTTAGAGGCTCTTTACTGCTAGGTCACTGAATCCTTTTTGGCTCTAGGTGGTGCCTTAGGCTCAGATTCACATTGACTCTAGTAAACAATCATAGCACTGTCTTTTCAAAATGGGGGAGGTCCCAAAGGGGATATTCTAGCAGTGTAAGAATACTCACTAGGGGTTTGTACCTAGGGGACTTTTTAAATGAACCTCTTACAATATGGTGCTGCTGAACAACCACTCTGATTTGGTGTCATTTGGGCCAAGTTACAGAACAGAGTTTTTAGAGTTTGGGGATGGTACTCCTGCCTTCCCCTTTTGTTTCTGCCTGTCTTCAGGGGTATTTCTTCTTTCTGGCACTCAATGCTTCCTGTGGATTAAGGTAAGAACAGATCTCCTTTCAAGGTACTCAAGATGGTTGGGGAAGCTGGTTGTTCACCTTGATGTCACTGTTTCCAGTGTAGAAGCTGTAGGATAGGGAAAAACTTTCTACATGCTTGGTACCATGCAGAATGAGGGGTGGGGCATTGTGTATGTGGAAGTCTGATTCTCTTACCATCTGCTCAGAGATTTTTCACTTTCCTGTGGCCCTAACAACTGTCTCATACTCACATTTGAGTTCTGGGATATTGCTGGCAATAATCTGAGCACCATCTATTTGTTTTTGTTTTTCTTTTGGGGGAAGTGAAGCCAGCTTGCTTCTATGCCTCCATTTTGGAACCAGACGTCCCATATCAAATATCTTTTTCCATTCACTGATTTGGAAACTAAATATCAGTGATATGACCCCTCTCTTCATCTTCATTATTAGTGTCTGAGCTTATGTCCCTGGTATCTATTACTTGAAAATTTATAATAGACTTCAACCTAGTCCACATGAAATTCATCCATAAAGCATAGACAAGTGCCATGACCCCCTGACTTCAGCAATTCCTGAATTTTGCTTTGTTCCAATTTGTTGGTTAGTTTGTTTTTTAGACAATCAAATATGTGTTTAAATTTCTGAAAATACACTTAGTTGTTGTTGGAGAGCAAGCCATCTTCCCTCTCTCAGTACAAGTAGTTTATTTGAGCAATACTGCAGAATTAGCTGTGAGGTTCTAATTCAAGCTTGGAAAATGTGAGCCTTTCATCCCACATTACACATGGATTGATTCAAGAGTAGGAAGGGAACCCAAGTTTATGTAATGAGAAAAAATTGTTGGACTTTGCATACATGACCAAGAAGCAGATAAAGAAGCACATAATCCTTACTTCTTACTTTTGAGACATATAAGCCTGTATTTTCTACTACAATTTTTGCACACCTCAATGAGCAAATGTGTATGTCTGAGAAGAATCAGTCCACTTGGTCAGGACCAAGATCATTAGGACTTTCTAGTTACTGTATCCAAGCCTCTCTTTATGCTTGTGGATTCCTTAAATATATTCTGTCATTCATCCCCCTATATTTCTATGTACTATTTCTTTGGCCTCAGATACTAGATTCCTCACTTAATACACACACATGTATGCATGCACATGCAGACACACAAAAATGAACTCCCACACTCACATACAACCTTCAATAACATTGCTCTGCTCTACTTCATTTCTATCTGCGCTTGTCCCTTTATTAGCATAGTGTTTAAAGATTTGCTGTTGTTTCTGATTCTCAAACTGGTCCATTACTACTGTGAGGGTAGGAAGTGGTATAATATTTATCTTTTGCCCTAAGAGCTTGACTTTAAGGTAGGCATTTATTAAATTCTTTTAAATTGGCTTCTATAAAATATGTATTCATGGAAGAAAAATTTTATGAATGTATTTTGCAAGTGTATTTTTATACAATGATAGAATTTTCAGTGGAATTTGAATGTTTTATTCTTTGATTTCAGAAAACTGGGAAAAAGAAAGAATATAATTACTCTTGCAAAATAGTTCACCTAAAGGAAAACAACAGCTAATATTAATGGAGCATTTGCTATGTAATGTGCTCTATGTTACAAGCTTTTCATTTAATTTTAAAAGCAAACTTATGGATATAATATTAAATATTAGAAAATAGAAAAAAACATTGAGTTTTGGAAAAGTAAATTAAATAGGCATCACATTGTTAATTAAAAGCACTAGTAATGTTGGAACTCAGGCAGCCTAATTCTAACATTTAGATATTGAAAAATTGTACTACAGTGTATGAGTTAAGTACATATTATTAAGCTTTTAATAGAATATTGTTGAGACTTTCTTATTAATGAATTTATCATAATTACTAGGGTTAATTAAACACCATTTTACAAAAATTTACAGTAATATTTTATGCCAAATCAGTTATCAAATCTCTTTTTACCTAAAAGGCACTGTAATTAATAGCAGTGCCTATTGAATCACTCTACCACCAAACGTGTTTTGAACCTCCATTCAGCCTTTTTCTAGATAAAAAATCATGTCTCTGTGTTAGTTTCCTCATGTGTTAAAATGGGTAACTGACAACAAATAATTATGGAAAAGTCAATTAAAGTAGGGTTTTTCCATTTATAAACTAAGTCAAATTAAAGGTATTCAGTAAAGTTTATTTTTTTAAGCAGTAAAAATAACACAAATAATGAAATATTAAAATTTGGTGGAAAATTGATGCATCTATCTTAAAGGTATGATTACTTAGTAATATTCAAACAAATAATTGTTGTCTTTAGAATTTCAGATTTGTGTATATACTTAAAGGTGGTACATTGCTCCCTACACTGGTAAAGTGTCCTAAGAATGAATCTTATGAAACTACGCTTACCTATTAGCCTATTAGTGGCCAACAAATTACAACAAATTTTAGCCAGGTACTTATCCATTAGTTTTACCTTTTACTGCATATTAAAAAAAATACACATATTTGGAACATTAAAAAAAATAAAGAAAGCTCTTAGGTTCTTTGATGGGGGAGAGATAGAGGGTAACAGTGATATGAGAATTGAAGGCAATAGTATAAAAACTTATAAAAGTGAAGGACAAGTTTGTATAAATTTGGAAATATTCATGAAATAATAAATTGAACATGAGATGAAATAGAAAATCACTCAAAGAATATCAAATGCACGAAACATTTTTAAGAGAGGTAGAGATTAATGTCTGATGTACCAAGTGTTCTTTCAACTGGAATTAAGGGACATCTTGGATAGATCTCAATGGCATTGATTATTTCCTACTCATCTTTGAATCCTCAACACTTTATCGTCTTCTTACACATAATTGACCTTCATAACTGTGTGACTGATGAAAGAGTAAGCCCAATCATTATGGAGAAAAGCAACAGAATTCAGTGGAATTAAACTAACTGTTTCTCTATTAAACTGTCATTTAAATACCTTTATCAAAACAATCATAATTTTAGGATAAGTAATGTTGATGATTTTAGAATTTCTCTTAAAATTTGAGCCTGCCATATGCCAGATATGGTAACTGTTAAAAGATTCACTTTTGATGTTAGACAAAGAAAAAAAAAATAACCATAGTTTAAAAATCACAGCTTTAAAAAGTTCAACTGTTTATTTTACATCCTTATCATTATTTTTAGCATATTTAAATTTAAAAAATTTCTGTGTTAAACATATCAAAACGCACTCATTTATTCATTCACTTCTATTTGTTTACACTCTTTTTTCTTATACTTTACAATATTTGACTACTGGAGTGATTATAAATACAAGCAGACATTGTAGTGTTTTTCCTTTGTAATTCAAGCAGCTGAATACTTAATTAATTATGCATTTCAATGGAATTGAACATGAAGGTAAAGCCAAAAAGAAATAGGAATAAATCTGTATTATTAACTAACCAAAGAGCAAAAGGATCAGACCCTACCAAATCATACTCTGTACAGTATATTAACTCTAAGTCAGTAAAACTTTTTCAAATGGAAAGGGTAATGATAAATTGTTTTAAGCACGTACATGAGTGCATGGACTTCTAATAAAATATTCTGACCCAGTAATGTTTAAAAACCTGCTGATCTCAATTGAGCAGAAAGATTACCAAATTAAAAATCATTCATAAAGTGATTGAGTCTCATTTCTGTCAGACTCATGGTAGAAAAACTTTACCAGCTCTCCCATATATTAGAAGAATTATTTTATTTTATGTAGTTGCTCATAGAGCAAATACAGTAAATCGAAAAGCATCAGAAATACTTAAAAAACACCTAATTATAGAGCATTTTTAATTTAGAAGGGAGACTTGCTTTCTGAACCTATATGACACAATAATAAATTGAAAGTAATAAATTACTTTTTGGATTTATGAAATGAAAAACATAAGACAATATGAAATTTAGACAACCTTATATAATTAAGAACTAATTTTAAATTACATTTGAACATTAGACTTAAAACTTTGATTTACACTAAATAAGAAATGAAGGAATAAAATCAATTATTCTGGCCTTCATGGATTTTAAATAACTCCAAGCGAACGTTAATATTTGAGGTGAGTTTGAAGGGGGTCTCATCTTTTACAAATTGCATAGTACTAACCAGGAAAGTGATAGCACTTACAACACTGCTAGTTTTTCAATTAACCATAATAACGGTCAGACAAAACTATAGGAGTGAGACTTTATTCAACTTTCTTAATATTTTGTGGTCTTCTATTACAGTAATATATCATCTAAAGCTCTAATTTTCACGTAGATTTATGCTATTTACAAGTCTTAATAGACTCGTAGCTCTACAAGGTAGGTTGTTTGAAATACCTCTCAAGAGCTAGCAATCAAAGTAAGTAAAATTGAAGTGTTCAGGTTCAAGTTGAATGGCAGGTTCTTTGTTTTCTTCAACTTCTTGTACAATTGTCCTTTTCTTTTCCTTTTTTTTAGAGAGAGAAAATATACAAACCTCTATAGTTTAGTTTCTGTGAAGATAAGCCAAGCTGCCACAGACTACTGGCTCCTTCCCTCAAAATCAACACTGAAGAGAATCTAGAAGCTAGAGGAAAAATAAACCTGAATTCTAGTAACTCAGGCAGCATCCAAAAACTTAACAAATCTCTAAGAAGATTAAAGAATGTTTTTAATTAATATCTGTGTGGAAATTGAGTTGCCACAGCCCAAAGAAGAGAAATTTTGGAGTAAGATGTAAGAGGGTAGATTGGAGAAAAACTTTCAAAAATGTTTCTCTTGCTTCTCCCCCATACCCTTCTGACAAGCATTGCTTGTTTGCTCTGGGTAGTAGCAGTGTAGCACGAAACCTGTGCTTGGATGGTAAGTTGAAGACAGGATTTAATGACCAGCGGCCCTCAGGCATTCACTGCCATTACTCCTTATGTAAGGCTGCAAGGCTGTTCGAATACTTATCGTGGAGGCAGCCTCCTTTCATTACTGCTTCTTCTCAGTGGTTTATAGGTTATACCAAGCCTAGGATGTTGTCCTTATCCAGGGGATTCATGATGGCCTCCCTCCTTATAAACATCCTCAACACAAGGAGAAGAAACATTCATCTTCTACTTTTAGAACACATTAGAGATATTACATCCCCCAGAATTTACCTTTCATCTCATTGGACAGAATTCAGTTATGTTGTATACATGGCCATATGTGGTTGCAGGAGAAGCAAGGAAATATAATGTGTGCACACACAGAGACAGGCATACCCGCATATATTTATTTACATATATAAAGATTTTTTTCTGGGTGAACATATGCCTCATAAGAATTAAAGTCTTAATTACCGAAGAAAAGTTGAACATGTTTCCTGGGTTTCAACTAAAAGATTCTTCCATAATCCAATCCATTCCCTTCCCAAGTAGTCCTGCACACTCATCTCATCTTTTTGAAGAATATCAACTCTCCCACTTTCTATATGAAACAACACATATCCTATTTCATTTGCTGCATCTACCTTAAGGTTCAGAATCTTTGGGTCATGTGTGAAATTCTTCAGGTTATTTCCTTGCAATGTATCACATACACAATTGTATATTAGTTAGTATAGTAAAATTTTATTCAGAAATAGAAGGAATAAATATTTTATGGCCACTGGTGAACAGCAAACTCCAAATCTCATGGAAAAGCAGAGACTTTCTTGCCAAGAAGGAAACTATGTATCTTGATTGGCTCACCTGGCTGTAATAAGTTTCATTTTCTGAGAGACTCTTCTTATACCTTTCCTTCCATGGCCACATGCTCTCCAGCATTGGAGAGCAGGCATTTTTGGACTCTGAAAGGCATTCACAGCCTGATTGTAGCTAATAGTAGTTTAACAGCTTGAAATTGGAAAATGCTACATATCAGGACTGAAGAATATGTTAATAACACAAATTAAGCTCAAAACTGTCTTAACTTTAATCATTACATTGTAAATGGCACAAAAGATTTAAAGAGATGTCTTTCCAATATTTTAAAATTATAATATGTTTTAGCAAATTAATCACACACGTGGTCAATGAACAAGTGAATGCCTACCATATGGCTTTGTAATTTCTTTTTTCTCTTACTTGTTAATGCAAAGAAAATATCAATCAAATTTAATGTCAAAACTACCCTTGTTCATCTGGCGTAACCGTAGACTGTCTATTGAAGGATATCAGAACATGCCACCCCAAAATATGCCACTCTGGCACACTATTTTCAGTTAAAGGCACTTAAAAACAGCAGATGCAAGATAAACATTCTGACCTTCCTTCTGTTTTCAAAAAGCAGGAAATAAAATTCCAATAGGAAAGATGATGTTTTCCTTATTCCAGGACTGTAAATTCTTATCATCTAGGATGGGAAGTTGAGGCTAGAAAAATCTGTAAAAACAAACTTTATCAAACTAATCCTTATCTTCCTAGTAACTTCTCCACCCAATTAATTACTGTATACCATAGCTCTAGTTGCCTTACCTTGCAACATTTTCACATTTACTTTCTTTTGGTCTAATTCAGTATACAAGTGTTTAACTCTGTGTCATTGAGTTTTAATTTCATTATGAAGTCTTGATTGAGCATAAAACTTGTATTAAATAAACTATATACTTTTTTTCTATTGATCTGTCTTTTCTCAATGTAACTGTCATGTCCAACTGAAAAACTCTAGAAAGTAGAGGTAAAATTTTGTCTCACCTACACTACAGATATGAGCATTTGACTGAAATCAATAACGGCATTCTATAAGAATCAATTCACTATTTGAAATTATCAATAAAGTATAATTTATATTCTATTATTTGTGAAGTATTTGCTTTATCATTACACCTTGCATTAATGTGGTACATTTGTTATAATATATGAATCAATATTAATGTACTACCAACTGAGGTCCATAGATTACATTCAGGTTTACTCTTTGTGTTGCACATTCTATAGATTTTGAAAAATGTAAAATTCATGATCAATATACTTTAAATATAGAATTTAATCAAAATAGACAAAAATGTTAATGTGACTAAGCTACACATTTGTTTCTAGGTTTATGTTGTATGGTTTCTCTCCCTACTGGAATATTGGCCCATTAGGAGTCCTTAGACTATTTTGTTTACTATTATATTTGCAATGCCTAGGGCAGTTTCTTGCATGGAGTAGATGCTCAGTAAATATATGTTGAATATACAAGAGTGAATTTAAAAATAGGCATTAAATATTTTTGAGACAGAGTTCATATTTTCTAGTACAAAACAAAATAAGGGACTGGAGCAAACAATTTTAAACTATATTTGAAAATCTCAAAAATGTTGTAATGATAAAGAGGGAAAGAGGTGAAGAAATTAATTATAAAATGTATAATTATTTATTCCCAAAACAGAACATACGTAACATCTCATTAGCTACCATATCCAGTGAAGTGTTTACAAATAGGTCACATTTTCAACTAAAATATAAATATTAATCACGATTGGTGTTCTTCATGTAAAATAGTAAATACAAAGGAGGAGCCATAAATAAATAATAGAAAACATAGTTTGTGGGGTATAGCAAAATTAATTATTTAGCACAGATAGCATATATATTTAATAATAATTTGTTAGTGAGTGAAAGAAACCACTATAAGAATTGAAAAAGTCATGAACATCCAATAGGTGTAAAAAAATACAATGAAACTGGCTTCAGGAAGTTCGCTTATAAAGCTTTTGGAAAAAAAGAAATGGTACTCTCACATATTCTAAAATCTGAAAAGAGTTAAAATAGTTACAAAGGTGTGGAGCTGACTTTAAGAAAAGGAGCAAGGGATAATACAGTGCCCATTTATAGAGATAGGGAAAAAGACAGAGATACAGACAGGGAGAACTACGTGGAAGGGATCACTTGGCAAGAACTCTCTCCTTCATAAGATTAACACAACCAATGCAGAGAGATATGGCAGAATAGGAGAGAGTTGGGGGACTAAATACCTCTAACTCTCTCTTTTCCCATTCTCTGTATCCCCTGTCAGCATCTCTTTTTGTGAAAATCTCATCATAAAATTGAAAGGAATCAATCCATTGATGTGGCCAATAAAAATCCACCTTTCAGTCATAGAACAGGATGCAGAAAGTAGAGAATAACATTCATAACATAAGGTGTCACTTGAGTTTATCTTTGCAAATTTGCTTAGGTCTGAAAAATGAGTATGAATTGACTTAGGCTTCTGCCAACCAGACTTGATTAAGTATCACCTAACCAGAATATTCATATGTTATATTTTTAGTGACCTCTTGTTCAATTAGTCATTGACATTAATAATGCCCAGGGCCAAATACCCATAAAACCACAGCTGTGATCAATCACAATTAAATTGATTATTTTGCTATAGCAATATAATTGGAGGAGTCAAGAGATGTCTCTTTAAGGAGAGGATATTATAAGGTGTGAGCCAATAATAAATGACATAGGAGAGCACTCAAGGAAGCAAGGGTCTATTCCAGATTAGGCACTAGTAGGAAAGAAAGAGATTTGATGTGTGTGTGTGTGTGTGTGTGTGTGTGTGTGAGAGAGATGTGTGTGTGGGATGTGTGTATAAGTGTATGTATGTGAGTTTACACATCTATCTATCTATCTATTATATATATCTCCAGTGAAAGACAATTATTTGGGGTTTGTCTTTGCATAGCGGTGCCCTTGTATTTGGCTATTTTCAGACATCACTTAACAATGATTATGGAGTGTTCTTGTTTGGGTCTTGTTCCATCCTTGTTCCATCAAGTCTGTGAAGAGTCCTCGTATGATGTTTATATATTGTGAAATTGCTCATGTCCAGTAGGAAAGACTCCATGCTAGCTGTTTTTCTTCTGTTGTCAACTGGATCCTACAAGGGACATTTTTCTTCCTCTCTAAGCCACTTTTTTTGGCTAACAGCATCTGATATCAGGCTGCATTTAAGACACAGGATTTTAATTTGTTGAGGCCAGATTCACATGGTTTTTAAGATTCTGTTGATGAGAAAGTTGTTGTCTATAGTTGGACAAGAGTGTTTCCCTCCTGTTCCTTTTGTAACATGTTGAGTTATTGAATTATCTAATGTGACAATGGCTTCACATTATTAACACTACTCTAAATAGGAAACATTGGCCAGCTACAATGCATACAGTTACAAAAATCAAAGGTTGATTTGTTCATGTAAA
Source organism: Homo sapiens (assembly GCF_000001405.40). Lineage (NCBI taxonomy): Eukaryota > Metazoa > Chordata > Mammalia > Primates > Hominidae > Homo > Homo sapiens. Next base: position 135,303,210 of record NC_000004.12, read on the forward strand.
GAGCTATGAAGCTAGGGCCTAGAAAACAAATCCCAATTATTAACATATGTTCTAACATCTAGCTAGGTTATTTTTTAGATTCGATTGTTCTTTTATTTTAGAGAAGTCACACATTTATATAAATGCAGCAGGAATTTTATATAGCACAAATTCCTTCTTTTTTTCTTTCTTTTCTTTCTTTTTTTTTTTTTTTTGAGACAGAGTTTTGCCCTGTTGCCCAGGCTGGAGTGCAGTGGTGCAATCTCTGCTCACTGCAACCTCTGCCTCCTGGGTTCAAAAGATTCTCTCGCCTCAGCCTCCTGAGTAGCTGGGATTACAGGTGCCCACCACCACACCCGGCTAATTTTTGTATTTTCAGTAGAGACTGGCCAGGCTGGTCTCAAACTCCTGACCTCGAGATCCACCTGCCTCGGCCTCCCAAAGTGCTGAGAGTACAGGTGTGAGCCACCACACCCAGCCAAATTCTTTCTTTGTTAATGAAGAGGAATCAAGGGATAGCTGTTGGCTTATGAAACCAGTTAATCAGTATAAACTAATTTTGAGAATCTCTAAAACATAATACTGTAATTGATTTCTTTTCCTAGGTTCAGAAATCAAATTTGAAAAAAAACTTTTTCCAGTTTTATTATTGTATCATTGAAAATGTGGCTTACACATTATGTATGAAGAGGGAGTCAGTTATTCTTCCTGGGAGCTCTCCTGAATAGGTAGGTATGCTTGCCTTACTTTTGAGTATCTTTTTAAGAAAAATACATGACACTAGTTTTAGATATATGAAAGCCTCTAACAATCGCCTGAAATATTATACACAGGACAAATGAGTACGCAATTAAGCCAAGCAAGCTTGGCTTCCACATGAGATGTTGTGCCCTAGTGGGCACAGAAAGGATTGTATTGTTTATTACTAGAGTATAAGTATTGTTTATTACTAGAAAAGCAAGCCAATTACTAGTATCTGAATGCAGGCAAATTTTCTGAGTAAAAATAAATAGTAACTACAGGTTAAAAGTTATCTTAAGAGAATAAACTGGCTGCAGTAAAAATGATAACTGCATATTTATTTTCACTGGTGAGCTGTTTTCTGTTGAGAACTCTAGTATTACTTTAGTGAAAGTATTTTTGTGACTCAGAGGGGAAAGCCAATTTTTACAAGATTAATTGTTGAGGTTACTAATGACAGGACAATTTATATATCAGAGGGAACCTGTGGAAGCAAATAAAATATGCCTTTTAAGTGGTGAAAGGGATAGCTATTAAATTTATGTCTTTAGAATTACATGGCATATGACAAATTTGCCATTAATTAGATTTAGATTAGAAACTATAATTTGAGAAAAACATGAGAGTTTTGCCTTTCCTTAGGTGATAGAAGGTGGTACGAGGTGAAGAACAATATGGTGAAGATACTCAAAAACAACTGAGAGAGCAGGTGGTCACAGAGCTAACAAAATATCATGAGAATTATAATAAGTAGTAAATCAAAGGGAAATAAATAAATTGACATATCAGAAAATTAATCATGTTTTATCATTTTGGGTGGAAGCTGTCTGCTTCGTCCCATCATCTGCTTGACCTGAGAATGTTGAGTCATGTTAGACTTGAGAATGTTAAGTCATCTCTCATCTTCTGAGTTTTGTCTACTTCTAGAGGCTTTCTACAAATTTTTGACCTACTATATAGTCCAGAAGAAATGATGATTTTTAAAAATAGTAATACATAAGCCTAAGGATTAATATGTTGCAATTTTACAGTTATACTAGTTATTAACAGTTACAAGGCCAAACCCATAGAAACTTAAGAAAGGTTTCTTTCTCAGTGCCTCTTTCAAGAAAGAGGCTTCCATGTTTCAGGACACTCAGAGACTTCTTAGGTGAATAATTTGGAAGGGATGGTATTACCGGCTGGTAACGAGACTGAGTGTCTCTTTCAGTATTTAGTCACATCATCTTACAATTGGAAAAGAACATGAATCAGAGTTGAAATTTCAAATGCATGGTTTGTTTTCTTAGTAACTGATAAATGCATAGCTTTTGGTTGACAGAAGAAATGTACCAGCAATTTTAAACAATGCCTGTGATAGAATATCCCTCCCAGAAAAAGAAAAAACAAAACATACTTTTTTTTTTGCTTTAAATTCTAAACAATTGCTCTTGTTTTGCAGAAAGTATAAGCAGTCTTCCTTTACTTTATGTGAGAGAGTTGATTCCAGGACCTCCTGTGTAAAGCAAAATCAATAGATGCTCAAGTCCCTGATATAAAATGACACGTTATGTGCATATAATCTATGCACATCCTCCCATATACTTTAAATCATGTCTGGATTACTTATAATACCTAACACAATGTAAATGTTATGTAAATAGTTATGCTGTATTTTTCATTTTTCTCTTTAAATTGTGTTTTTATTTTTTACTTTGTGTGTGTGTGTGTGTGTGTTTGTTTTAATTTCTGATCCACTGTTGGTGGAATCCATAGATGTGGAATTCATGGATACAATGGGCCAACTGTATATATATGTCTGTACACAAATGTGTGTGTTTGCATTCACATATTGTGTATTTAAAATACATATAATAAATATGAAGGGTTTGATCAAATTAGTTTATTTTAGTACTTATCCATTAATCAGATATGGAAGTTAATTTAAAGAATTAGAATACATGTGGTACTACATGTTTCTGTTTTATATAGTACATGCAAAATTAACAAGGGTATATCACATTCACTCTTTTGTGGAGTTCAGTCTTTTGACGTGTTTCTTTATGCATGGCTTATTTTTTTTATTTTTGGAGAGAAAAAAATATTATTTTCAGGCTCATGTCATCAATGAAAAATGCTACAGAATATAAGGTACCGGTGAAAATATTTTGCCGGAAAAGATGTAGTGCTCAGTATAAAGCTGTGTTCACAATAATACATTTTGAAAACCTCAACTTTTAAAGTACTATGAATCTATTTTAAAATGCAGAAAACAAGGAAGGGTTCCAATTTTGATATCTTATACATCTGATACATGAGGGTTTTTTTGTTTGTTTCTTGAGTAGAGTTTCAAGAATAGAAAACTTGATTAGATTATATGAAAAGGATGTGACCTCAGAAAAGTTTGGTGCCTGGTATCTACAATGCTTAGCCAGTTTATAATATCTGCAAAGCTGCTTTTCTGGTAATTAATTCAAGAAATTTGGGGATAGATTATAATCTCTTTGGATTACATACCTTCTTGGAATATACCGTATTCTAAATAATGCATTTTTTTCCTGGCACAATTTCAATTTCTCTTTGAATATTTTTGCTGTTTCTTAGGTAGAGTATTTAACAAAAAGAGTCAGTTAGAGAACGTTGTTGTTTTGTAAATAGCAATATGTCATTTATGTCTTGTATTAAGTAAGAGTCATAAGAGAATGTTAAATTCTAGGTGTTGGTTGGTGATGTATTAGAATACAAGAAAGTTTCAGAAAACCCTAGGGGCATGTCAGTCCAGAGATATTGTTTATTCTTCCATGTGAAGACAAATATTGATTGTGTGGATCTAAGTGTAAACTAAGGAAGAACAAGTCTACCAGTCAACCAAAAATGGGTGATCCCAGGAGCTACTGAAGACAGAATGGTATTTGAGTTAGTACCCATAAAAAGTAAAGGATCACAAACTTGTTTATAGCTCATAAACCCATGAAACTTTTTTTTGGCCTTTCAACCATTTACTGATTTTTATTATTATTAGTATTTTTTTTTATTATACTTTAACTTCTAGGGTACATGTGCACAATGTGTAGGTTTGTTACGTATGTATGAGTGTGCCATGTTGGTGTGCTGCACCCATTAACTCATCATTTACATTAGGTATATCTCCTAATGCTGTCCCTCCCCGCTGCTCCCACCCCACGACAGGCCCTGGTGTGTGATGTTCCCCTTCCTGTGTCCACGTGTTCTCATTGTTCAATTCCCACCTATGAGTGAGAACATGCGGTGTTTGGTTTTTTTGTCCTTGCGATAGTTTGCTGAGAATGATGGTTTCCAGCTTCATCCATGTCCCTGTAAAGGACATGAACTCATTCTTTTTTATGGCTGCATAGTATTCCATGGTGTATATGTGCCACATTTTCTCAATCCAGTCTATCATTGTTGGACATTTGGGTTGGTTCCAAGTCTTTGCTATTGTGAATAGTGTCATAATAAATATACGTGTTCATGTGTCTTTATAGTGGCATGATTTATAATCCTTTGGGTATATACCCAGTAATGGGATGACTGGGTCAAATGGTGTTTCTAGTTCTAGATCCTTGAGGAATCGCCACACTGTCTTCCACAATGGTTGAACTAGTTTACAGTCCCACCAACAGTGTAAAAGTGTTCATATTACTCCACATTCTCTCCAGCACCTGTTGTTTCCTGACTTTTTAATGATCGCCATTCTAACTGGTGTGAGATGGTATCTCATTGTGGTTTTGATTTGCATTTCTCTGATGGCCAGTGATGATGAGAATTTTTTCATGTGTCTGTTGGCTGCAGAAATGTCTTCTTTTGAGAAGTGTCTGTTTATATCCTTTGCCCACTTTTTGACGGGGTTGTTTGTTTTTTTCTTGTAAGTTTGTTGGAGTTCATTGTAGATTCTGGATATTAGCCCTTTGTCAGATGAGTACATTGCAAAAATTTTTTCCTGTTCTGTAGGTTGCCTTTTCACTCTGATGGTAGTTTCTTTTGCTGTGCAGAAGCTCTTTTTTAGCAGTCAACAACATGAGTGTTAAAGACCTAATGAGTTGAATTACAAGTCGCTTTTGTATGAAATATTCCACAATAGGCTTCCGTCCTTTTTTGGTTTTGGGTGCAATTGACATACTAATGATCCATGAATGAAAGAGTCCCCATGGATTTGTAGAAAGTGTATGTGTGAAGAGCTTTTGACTTCACCATCATATTTTTATAGTTTTCTCCTATTAAATTTTTTTGGAGTGGTATTACAAAGAAGGAACCTATATTTGCTAGTAAGAGGGTCAAGAGTTCCAGTTACAGATTTAAGGGGAGAATTTGAGAGGCAATTTAAATCTAAATCTCTTTAGATTTACTCCTTGAAGGAATCTTATGACTCATAGTAAGTGATACAAAGAATGGTAGGATTATAGTCCTAATTTATGTTCAGTTGTGAGTCTTTTATCTTAGTTGTTTTAAGAAAATCATTGGACATTGGGCACACAGTCCTGCTTGAAATGCATTCACATCCCCTTGGGAAAGGGCTTCTATTGCTTTTTAAGGATGTGACAATTAATTTTCCATGGCTCTCTTCATATTCATGATATGAGTAAGTGTTTCTGTAGAAATGATTTTGTTGTTTATGTTTTTGTTTCCCGTTAAGGGAGGGGCATATCCATTAAGCTGCTTTATTCGTAAGGCTATACTTTCATTTTAAACTATATTTTTAAAAACATATTTCCTTTCTAATGTCTCTTAATATTGTGCAGCCAAATGCTAAAATTCATGCAGCGAAACAATCTGCCAGCCTATCTTTTGTTTACGTAATAGAATTGCAATTTCTGGTTTGAAACCATTGATGCAGTATTAGAAAAGGCCATAAAGACATCTGGATTACAGGCTATCCCTGAAGATTGTCTCAAGGTTATTATTAATGCTAGGGATTTTCCCTTTTGTCACTTGCAAGAATGAATTAATGTTCAATTTAATTTCAGCAGGAAAAACATGCAGTTTTTAAAACTTGTTCTATCTAACATGCTCTGAGATATACTAATTCAGTAAAGTTTACTTCATTTTCTTCAAATGATATGCACGTACTCCCCCCAAAATTCATTTGTTGGAAAAGTGATTCCCAATGCAACAGTGTGGGAGGTGGGGACTAATGGCACAAAGTAAAATGGTACCTGCACTATTAAGCAACTAGAAATAGAGGATTTAATTTTTTTAAACCTTGAGCACCATAAAGTACTCAGACAATTTTAGTAATACATGCTTATATACTTTTCAGATTGTCTAAAAAAGAGACTAAAAATAGATTAAAAATATAGATGCATGTAATATGCATACACTTCCCTTCTCCAGAGAATAATTATGTTAATAAGTTCCTCCATTACCAATTTTACAGGCAATGTTTTTTGGTTGTGATGCAATTATACTAGAAGTCAATATTCTTTTAACAGTCAGAAAACATATTTCTATGAAAAATTGGAAATATTTTCTTAACTAATCATTTTAGCAAAGAGCAGAAACAAATTGTAAATTATGCTACGGTAATCAGAAAATATAAAAGAGAAAATCAGTACTAAAATTTTAAATTATCTATAAAGTAATGAAATAAAAAACATTTCATTGGAAAATATTGATATAAAAGATAGTGCTAAGACTGTTACTGGAGAAAAAAACAAATACTTAAATGTCTTCAATAATTTTAATAAACAATCAGAACAATCACTAGTAAGAGACAACAACCACACATTAAGTATTATTTTTTGGTAAAATTTAAACTAATGATTTTGGAAATAGTCAGCAATAACAAATGTCATTCATTCAGCAAATGTTCCTAGATTGCCTACTGCATGTCAGGAGCTTTTCCAGGCCTTGAGAAACAGTTTTGAATCAGAGAAAAATTTTGACTTCTTGTTTACATTCTAGTGGAGAGGAGCAAGCAATTATGGAAAGTAAATATAAAAGATAATGCAGGAATGTAGGCTTGCAATTGAAAAAAAAGATGGTCAGTGAATATCTCAAGTATATCACCAAAAGTAAAATACATTGGGATAAAATCTGACTATTTGAAAAAGATCATGTAACTAACTGGAGAAATTGCATTCCACCAATAAAAAATGTTTTAAAGAATAGCAAATATCAAGGTAATTCATTAAAAAGACTTTTAAAATGTTCATGACCTTTCATTAAAAGTTTAAAATTTGAAAAACATGAGAAGATAAAATACATCACAATTAGGAAAAAGAAAAACTATATAGTCTCTCATTATGAAAATACTAAAATGATTGTAAGAAGTCACATGATATTAATACTCTATGCATACGTATAACATTAAATTCCAAGTAGATGCATGATTTCTTAGAACAGTATAAATAACCTACAGTGATATAATAAAAATAGAATCTAAATGGAACAATAAACAGAAGATATTGTAGTTAGTTTTCTCAATATTTTAAAAAGGCAAGAAGATGAGACGTTTAATACCTGTTTTTCCAAATTTGAAAGTAAAAACTTATAAAACAAGTATTTTAAAGAAGTTATTTAAAAATTGATTTGGTTTCACCTCAATAAAAATTAAATATTTTATGAAGCTTGAGTAAATATAAACATTGTGAAACTGACATGGGAAAAAATAAACATATCAGTCAGGCAAATAAAAACACTAGAAAGATGAGATGATACTATCAATTTTATTTTTATTTTTTGGTCTGCATGTAGCAAAATTTAAAATGTACATCATCCTTTGTACCTCTAGGAATTTATTTCACTTATATCTTTCTCCAGTGGTATAAACACAGAATGTTCACTGAAGCATCCAAAAAAGATAAAAATACAAGCATTTGCTACAAAGACTTACATGAAAAGTTCATCTAAATGAAGGTCTGTGAAAAATATGCAACTTAAACATAGAAATATTTATAAAACCTATTCTTAGTGAGTACAGATTACTCATAAAAGTTATGGACACTAAATTAAATAGAAAAAATTATATGTATGCATAAATTAACTATTAAAGTGCATTAAAATTCTGAAAGATTACACAAAATTTAGAGCATATCTTAGTGGAGGTGGAAGGTAAAAAACTTTCAAGTTCAATCTTTAAATTTTTCTACAAAGTTTTTAAAAATTGTTAAATGAGAATTAATTACGTGATTGAAAAAGATAATTAAAAATACAATTAAAAAGCTATAGGTTAATGCAAACAACTTAAAGGACAAAAATGTTTTAGAACAGCTTGCTTAATTCAATCTAGTAAAAAAAAATCTTCTCATGCAAATTCTGTGTTTTAAACATCTTTTTGATAAAGGACATTGATGTATATAAAAGATAGTGGCATGAGTCTTCCAACTTAAGTTAAATTTGATAAGAAAGCTCATTACTGTCTAAATGAGCAATATGAGAAATTAAATGCTGGGCATGGCTCAGGAATAACTGCTTAGCATATGCTACCATTGCATAATAAAAATCATTTGTGCAGTAACACATGAAAGTGTTTCTAAGCCATTATGACAATATTCGAGTTTCAGAGTTTATTGAAATATTTGGTTCTTATTTGTCTTTTGCATTCGCAAATGATTTTATTTTTATTTGATGTGAAAATATTATTATTAATGCAACAGTGGATTTTTAAAGGATATTTTAATGCCTATGCAAGAGTGAGCATGTTAAAATTGATCATTATCAGATGAAACATCACACTTCACTAGCAGCAGTTTATTTTTTCAACTGTTTGTTGTTCCTGTGTTGTTCCCTCAATATACAAAATGAGATCAAAACACAAAAAGGCATCGTAAAATGCCACTGGAAAATGGAAAGATAAGGTTTTTATAATGTATCACTAGTGCTCATTTGTTAAGGCAATTTCCCAGACTCCCAATGTATTTTAAATAATTTTGCAAAACAAATCTATGGTTCTTATTAAATAACCATGTAATTTAAAACAAAACATAGTGGACATGATAATAAAGGTATCACTTTTCATTCCAAATTGAACTTTATATTATATAATAATATAAACATTTTCACTTAAATCACATTCAAATTTAGAAAAAATTTTATCATGTTATTGTTTAATAACAAATGATAAAGATTCAGGTCTATTTGCTATAACAACAAAAGAAATTATAAACAAGATAATCATGGAAGACACAAATTTTATTTTTCTTTCTTTCTTCTATGACATGGACAAAAATAAGAACTCTATAACGGTAAGGGTGTATTCATGGCCTACCCAGTCTCCTAACTTGGAAGTCTGCCTTTTCTAGTATTGCCCAGATCCACTTGGTCAGTGATATCTTCAGTCAAAGGGAAGAAGATGTATTGAGGAAGGGAAATGTATACTCTTTCTCATTTAAGGCACAAAGGAGATTTTTTTCCTCACATTTCCATTTACAGAATGTGTTCACAGAGGTTAGCCAGAACATAGCTGAACAGCTAAACTAGAGGCTGGTAAATGTACCCTCTTGCTGGACTTTCAGGTAATCAGTTACTTTTCAGGATTTTTTATGGAAAATGGTAGAAGGGATATTGGGCCTAACTCATAGACTTTCAAAGTTTTTTGTAAAAAAAAGTTTCATATCATGCAAGAAAAATAACTGTGATACTGCAGGGATTATAATAAATATGTTAATTTAACAGAAGCTTAAGACAATAGAATTAGAATAGTTGTCAAAGTAGATTTAAGTAACGTGGATAAAATATACATAAAAACTAACTCCCTTTTACATCTTTCTATCTAGTTTTGCTTTTGTGTTTCATTTCTCAACTCTTCAATCTAAAACCTTTCAAAACTGTTCTGCTGAGATGAATAGGCAGACTACACTATTACAGGATTGTTAGCTTACAAGAAAAAAATCCTAGCCTGTTAACTGTTCCTTTCTCCTATTATTCTCAAGAAAGATCTTACTTCTATAGATGAGTACTTCCATTTAGAAAATAACTTTTCTTTCCATGTTATTTGTTATGAAAAAGTTTTGTATAGCTATTCTATTCATTTATTTCTATGTCTAATATTCATATCAATGTCCAGAGTAATGACTTTAAAGAAAATATTTTTGAGTCTACAAACAACAAGAATCATCTTCCAGTAAACATTATCTTCTATCTTCTCTTGGTATTGTATTGCTCTTCAGTTCCAGGAAAACTAAAATTAACTGATTATCATCCAAAAAATTAGTTAAGATAAGCAGAGAAATGTCAATTTTATTGCTATTGGGTGAAAGTTTCCATAAAATGGAGATTTAAGTTAAATTGAATAATAATTTTTCTAAGATTTCTACTTTTTGTTGATTTCCATTTAAATATTCCTTAAATTATAGACAAAGGTATGTTAAAACCATCAACCGTAATATTGAATTTGTCTATTTCTCTTTCCAGTATATTTTTATTTCCTGTGATTTGAATCTTTGCTCTCAGTTGCATACCCACAGAATTGTCACATCTTCTCAGTGAATTGTCCCTTTTATTATTATTATATGCCCCTCTTTGCAACTATTAATATTGTCTATCCTTATTATTTGAGTGTGCCATATTTGCAAATTTCCTGCTCACTAAAATTTATTTTTAACCCCAAAATCAATACTCAGAGATTTTCTCAGTCATTTGCAGACATGTCCAGAGCCACAAAATGACTGAGTTGCCCAACCCCCAGGTCCCCAACTAAAATTAAAGAAGATGGCATTGCCTTCTTACTTCATCTCTCATGTAGAGTTCACCATTTGGTAGGAGCAGGGCAGTGTAAGGGAAGAAGCTCTGGATCTGGGGCCAGTTAGAGGGAGTGTGAATTCCAACTCAGGCAGACATTAGTGGGGTGGTCTCGGGCAAGTCCTTCAACATTTCTGAATCTGTTGTTCTTTTTTTATAACATTAAGAAATTAAAATCCACCATAATTTTTTTTAGGATTTAAGATTATAATCTGTGTTAAATGTGTGTGTGTGTGTGTGTGTGTGTATACTTACTCTTTGGAATCGTGGTTCAATATTCACTAATTCAGTGCTTGTGTGACTTTGTAGAACATAAATACTACAAGTAATGTGATTAATTGCATTTCTTTTTCTAATGTGTACTTATTATGATGCTAATATAGCTATTCCAGCTTTTGTTTGAATAGTGTTCGAATAGTATACAATTTTTATCCTTTTTTATACATATGTTAGATTGAAAGTAGTTTTCTGGTTGACAATTTAGAGTTGATCTCCTTCTCCGCCTCTTCCTCCTCCACTACCTCATCTGCCTCCAATTCCTCCTCTGTCTTATTAAGTTCACCTTTGCAATCTTTGCCATTTAACTGTTTCAACCTTTTACATTTAATGCAATTGGTGGTATGGTTGACTTTAAGTCTACCATTTTGCTGTTTGCTTTCTCTTTGACCACTTCTATTTGTTTCTGTTTTCTTTCCTACCTTCATACCTCCTTTAGGTTTTTATTTAATACCTTGTATTATTTACTCTTGGCTAATTAGCTATATTTAAATTTTTTTTCTTTTTCTTTAATTTTCTTTTACAGGTCAATCTAAGGTTAACAATATTTATCTTATTACAATATACTTTCCAACAATATTGCAGACTTTTTTACATAGCATTAACCACTTATGCAAATATTTTTCAGTTTGTCTCTGTCACCCGTTGTACTGTTGTATTAATACTTTTACTTCTGAATATGTTTTAAATAATAAAATATGTTGTTATTTTTGTTTTAAATAATCAATTATTTATTTATTTATTTATTTATTTATTTATTTATTGAGACCAGATCTCATTGTGTTGCCCAGGCTGGAGTGCAGTGGTGCAATCACAACTCACTGTAACCTCAAACTTCTGGGCTCAAGTGATCCTCCTGTCTTAGCCTCCTGAGTAGCTAGGACTAAAGATGTATGCCACTATGCCCAGCTAGTTTTTCTTTTAATGGCCTTTTTTTTTTTTTTTTTTTTTTTTGTAGAGATGAGATCTAATTGTGTGGGCCAGGCTTGTCTTGAATTCTTGGCCTCAATTGATCATCTTGCCCCAACCTCCCAGAGTTCTGAGATTACAGGAGTGAGCCACTATGCCTGGCTCAATTATGTTTTAAAGGAAACTTGAAAAGGAGAAGAGGCCATATTTACTCACATATTTACTAATTCTGTTACTCTTCACTTCTATATGAGTGCTTAATTTCCACCTAGGGTCATTTTATTTCATTTTGAAAAAAATTGCTAAGTATTAATTTTAGTGTAGTGTAAGTTATTTAGTAATGAATCTATAAGTGTTTGGTATTTATTTCTTTTCATTTTCTAAAAAACATTTTTTTCTGGCTGTACAATTTTAAATTGAAGAGGTGTACTCCTCTTCCTCAGCACTTTAAAGACATTTTTTTTTTTTGTCTTTTGCCTTAGGTTCTTTCCAAAAAGAATTATTTGGTCATATTCATCTTTCATTTCTAGTATATAATGTGCCTTTTTCCCTGTAATTTCTTTTTAGATTTTTCTCTTTTCCATGTATTTATAGTAATTTGATTAGGATTTAATTTGATTTTTATTCCTGAAATACAGAACAATTCATGAATTTATATCATTCTTGTGTAGGGGCTATGCTAATCTTCTCTGTATCTTTCCAAATTTAGTATACGTGCTACTGAAGCAAGCACTTGATTTAATTTTCTTTTTATATTACCTGAGATTTAGTGGCCATTCTATTTTTTAAATTTAATTTCTCATTTTTAATTTTTATGTGTACATAGTAGGTGTATATATTTATGGGGTACATGTGATGGTTTTATGCAGGAATATAATGTGCAATAACCATATCAGAGAAATTGAGGTATTTACCACCCCAAGCATTTATTATTTCTTCATTACAAGAGCATTCCATTTCTGCTATTTTAGCTATTTAAAAATATATCATAAATTATTTTTGACTGTAGTCAACCTGTTGTGCTATCAAGTACTAGATCTTACTCATTCTAACTATGTTTTTATACCCATCATCAATCCACACTTTTTCCCTCCCTCTCCACTAACCTTTGCACTCTTTGATTGATTTCAATCAATTTGATTGATTTGACTTCATTGATTGATTTGCATATGTTAGATCATTCTTTCCTTCCTGGGATGAATTCTACTTGGTCATGATGAATGATCATTTTAATATGTTGTTGAATTCAATTTGCTAGTGTTTTGTTTAGGAATTTTGCATCAATGTTCATCAGATACTGGCCTGTAGTTTTGTTTTGTTCTTCTTATGTCTTTGTTTGATTTTTGATGTCAGTAATACTGTCCTCCTAAAATGAGTTTTGAAGTATTCCCTAATCTTATACATCTTGCAATAGTTTGAGCAGGATTGGTATCAGTTCTTCCTTAAATGTTTGATAAAATTCAGCAGTGAAACCATCAGATCTCGTTACTGGCAGCAAATCTATATCCATACAGATCTGCAGCAACTTCAATTATTTCTTCCTCAGAAGAAAGACTCAGAAGGAGAAACCAAAGCATGTTTTAGAGCAGGAGTGTAAGTTTATTAAAAAGTTGTAGAGCAGGAATAAAAGGAAGTAAAGTACCCTTGGAAGAGGGCCAAGTGGGCAACTTGAGAGATCAAGAGCACAGTTTGACCTTTTGACTTGGGGTTTTATACGTTGGCGTACTTCCAAGATCCTGCATTACTTCTCTGATTCTTCCCTTGGCGTGGGCTGTCTGCATGTTCAGTGGCCTGCTAGCACTTGTGCGGAGAGCATGTTCAGTGTGTTTGCTGGAGTTGTACACATGCTTACTTGAAGCGTTCTTCACTTGCTGGTCTAGAATTCCTAGAGGAAGGTGATGATACCATTTAAACTCCATCACTTTGCCTCTTAATGATCATGCTTGAGCCCACTCGCCCAACTCCTAAGATCTTATTAGGAAGCTGCTGATCACCAGTTTTGGGTGTTTTCTCTCTACTGGGAGACTGCCTTTCCCTGGCGCTGCTTGTAAGCAATTATTATTTTAGAGAGAGAGTTAACAACTGCTGGACCATCATCTGATGGTCACCTGACATTTCTGGTGGTTGAGTGGGGAGCCCTCCTGCCCTGCTCATGTCTTACTAGCTACGTACTATAACAATCCAGGCTTTTCTTTGGTGGAAAACTTCTTACTAAATTTGATCTTGTTTTTTGTTTTTGGTCTTTTCAGGTTTTCGATTTCTTCATAGTTCAATCTTAGTAGATTGTATGTGTCTGATAATTTATTTCTTCTAGGTTCTCCAATTTATTGGTACATAGTTGCTCATGGAAGTCTTTAATAATCCTTTGAATTTCTGCTATATCAGTTGTAATGTCTCCTTTTTCATCTTTGATTTATCTATATAGGTCTTCTTTTCTTAATTAGTCTGGCTAAAGGTTTGTCATTTTTGTTTATATTTTCAAAAAAACAAACTTTTTTGTCTTCTTTATCTTTTATTATTTTTTATTTCAATTTCATTTATTTCTGCACTTATTCTTACTATTTTCTTTTCCCAATTTTGAGTTTGTTTTGCTCTTGTTTTTCTACTTCTTTAAGATGCATTGTTGGATTGTTTGAAGTTTTTCTCTTGTTTTATGTAGGCACTTATTGCTATAAACTATCCACTTAATACTAGTTTTGCTATGTCCCATAGGTTTTGGCATATTGTGTTTTCATTTTCATTTTTTTCCAGAAATTTTTAAATTCCCTTTTTAATTTCTTCATTCGCTCATTGAGCATTCAAGATCATATTGTTTAATTTCTACATCGTTGTAGAGTTTCAAAAGTTTTTTCCTTACTGATTTCTAATTTTATTTCATTGCGTTCAGAGAAGATGTCTAATAAGGTGTAAACTTTTTTCATTTCTAAAAAACTTGTTTTATGGCCTCACTTGTGGTCTATCCTTGAGAATGATCCATGGGCTAAGAGAAGAATATGTATTTTGTAGCTGTTGGATGAAATTTTCTGTCAATATTTATTAGGACTATTTGATCTATGTTGCAGATTAAGCCCAATGTTTCTTTGCTAATTTCCTGTCTGGATGAACTGCACAGTGCCTAAAATAGGATGTTGAGGTCTCCACTCATTATTGTATTTGGGTCTGTCTCTCACTTTAGATCGAATAATATTTGCTTTATATACCTTGGTGTTCCAGTTTTGGGAGAAGATATATTTATAACTGTGATATCCTCCTGCAGAATTATCTCCTTTTTTATTACATAATGAACCTCTTTGTCTTTCTATACTTTATGTTTGAAATATATTTTATCTTTTATAATATAGCTACTCCTGTTATTTTTTTATTTCCATTTGCATGGATTATCTTTTTCCTTCCCTTTATTTTTACTCTGTGTATGTATTTATGGGTGAAGTGAGTTTCTTGTAGACTTTTATCCATTCAACTACTCTATACCTTTTAAATGAAGAATTTAGTCCATTTACATTCAATGTTATTATTGATAAGTAAGGACCTACTGCTGCCATTTTGTTATTTGTTTTCTGGTCTTTTCTTCCTTCCATTCTTCCCCTTTTTCTGTCCTCCTTTGTGTAAGTCATTTTCCTTGCTTTCTATTTTCTGTATATCTGTTTCACATTTTTTTGATTTGAGGTTACCATGAGGCTTGAAAATAACATCTTAAACCAATCATTTTAAACAACTTAGCTGTGACTGCAAAACAAGAAAAGAGAAAACCAATAAAAATTCTACACTTTATTCCCCCCAGTCTTGTACTTTTGGTGGTTGGATTTATATTTTTATACTGTTTATATTTTTAAAAGGCGTTTGTAGTTAGTATTTTTGCAGGTTTATCTTTCAGTCTTTCTATTCAAAATATAAGTGGTTTACACACCATAATTATAGTTTTAGACTATTCTGTATTTGTATACTTACTGTTACCAGTGAGTTTTGTATCTTCTGATAATTTCTTATTGCTCATTAACGCTCTTTTTATTTTAGATTAAAGAGCACCCTTTCAGATTTCTTATAGGTTAAGTCTGGTGTTGAAAAAAATCCCTCAGTTTTTGTTTCTTGGAGAAAGTATTTATTTTTCTTTCATGTTTAAATGATATTTTCACTGAATGTAATAATTTATGATATATTATTTTGTGATTCAGCACTTTGCATATGTCATGCCCCTCTCTCTTGGACTCTAAGGTTTCCACTTAGAAGTCTACTGCCAGAATTTTTGGAGCTTATTAATATGTTCCCCTTTTTTTTCTCTTGCTGCTTTTAGAATCCTTTTCTTATCCTTGACCTTTGGGAGTATGGTTATTAAATGTCTTGAGGTAGTCTTATTTGGGTGAAATCTGCTTGGTGATCTGTGACCTTCTTATAATTAATTATCGATATGTTTCTGTAGGTTTGGAAAGTTCTCTGCTATTCTTTGAATAAACTTTTCACCCCAATCCTTCTGTCTATCTCCTTTTGAGGCCAACACATTTTATATTTTCTCTTTTGAGGCTATTTTCTAGATCTTGTAGGCATGTTGCAGTCTTATTCTTTTTTTTCTCCTCTCACTGTGTATTTCCATAGAAGTTGTCTTCAGTCTCACTCTTCAGTCTCATTCTTCTGCTTTATCAGTTCTGCTGTTGAAAGTCTTTGGTACATTTATAAATTTGTCAAATTTTTCAGCTCCAGAATTTCTGCTTTTTTTTTTTTTTTATTATTTCAAACTCTTAATTAAATTTCTCAGATAGGATTTTGAATTCCTTCTCTGTGCTATCTTGAAGTTCATTGAGTGTGCTCAAAATAGCTATTGTGAATTCTCTGTCTGAAAGGTCACGTATCTGTCACTCCAGAATTTGTCACTATTGCCTTATTTAGTTCATTTGGTGAGATCACATTTCCCTGGATGTTCTTGATGTTTGTCAATTTTCATAAATGTCTGGGCATTAAAGAGTTCAATATTCTAATCTTTTCATCTGGGCTTGTCTGTGCCTGTCCTTCTTGAGGAGGCTTTCCAAGTCTTCAAAGGGAATGGAGTGTTTTGATGTAAGTCTTTGGTCATTGCACTCAGATCTCCACTGGAGGCACTCTAAACCCTGTAACACTGTGACTCTTGCAAACTCAAAACAGAGGTATTGCTTTGGTGAGCTTGGGTAAGGTCCAGGAGAATTTCCTAGAATACAAGGCAGCGTCTCTTGTTCTCTTTCCTCACTATTCTCCAAACAAATGGAGGCTCTTTCTGTCTATGCTAGGCTGCTTGGAGTTTGGGGAAGGGGTAACGTGAGCACTCCTGTGACCACCACAGTTGGAATTGTGCTGAATCATAGCTAAATCTAGTACAGTACTGGGTTATGCCCAAGGCCTGTGGCAGCTACTGCTTGGCTACTGCTGGTGTTTATTTAGGGCGCGAGAGCTATTTAGTCATCAGATGGTGAATCCTGCCAGGACTGCCCTTTTAGGGCAGAGGGTGGTCTTCTGGTCTAGCATAGGTCAGAAATGTCATCTAAGAGGTAGAGCCTGGAATTTGGGGCTTCAGGACTTTGGTGCTTTTGTTTGACTGTAGCTGAGCTGGCATCCAAGTTGTAAGACAAAGTCTTCTTTACTATTTCTTTTCCTTTCTGCAGGCAATAGAAGTCTCTTCCCAAGTTACACTGCCTAGAGCTGGGGTACGGGTGATGCAGGCACACCCTTGGCTACCCCTGCTTGTGTCTCAGTGGGTGGTGTGCAACCCGAGTCTACTAGATCTGAACCCAGTGCAGCACCGGGGATTGCCCAAGGACTGCAGTTCTTGTGGCCTATAGTGCCTTTCGAATTTATTCAGGACCCCGAGCACTTTAGTTTGCTGGTGGTAGAGCTAGCCAGAAATCAGTATTCTACTGCTGGAGTGGAAAATTCTTCTCTGGATGGAGCTAGTCTAAATGCTCCCTTCATGGGCACTGGCTAAATTCTGCCCTGTGTTGTGTTCCACTGTAACAGAATATCATTGATTTCCAATGCAAGGTCCCGTAATCACTCTGCTGTCTCTCCCCCAAAGAAAGAGATTCTCTCTCCACATACCATGCTGCAAAGAGGATGGGAGAGGCATGGTGTATGAAATACAAAATTGTCATTCCTATTCTATTCAGTGCCCTTTTCCATGATTCGATATTAAAACTAGGTACTGTGATCGCTCATCTGATTTTTGGTTCTTATGGAGATGCTCATGTTTTCATGAATTTTGGAAACATTTAGTGCATCATTTCTTAAATATAGATATTCTTTTTGTGGAGTGGGAACAGAGTCTCACTCTCACAACATTGTAGGAACACACTTGAAAATAATAAGAGCCACCTGTGACAAACCCACAGCCATTATACTAACTAGGTGAAAGTTGGAAGCATTCCCTTTGAGAAATGGAATAAGACAAAGGATACCTATTCACACCACTCCTATTTACCACAGTACTGTTCCTAGTACTGAAAGTGCTAGCCAGATAAATCAGGCAAGAGAAATAAGTAAAAGTATCAAAATAGGAAAGAAGAAGTCAAACTATTTCTGTTCGTGGATGATATAAACATATGCCTGGAAAATAGTAAAGACTCTGCCAGAAGTCTCCTGGTATGGATTTAAAATGACTTCAGTAAAGTTTCAGGATACAAAATCAATGTATAAAAATCAATAGCATTTCTATACACTAATCATGTTCAAGCTGAAAGTCAAATCAAGAATGCAATCCCATTTACAATAGCAACAAAAAAATTTAAAAACCTAGTAATATATCTAATCAAGGAGGTAAAAGAGCTCTCCAAGAAGAATCACAAAACACTGCTAAAATAAATTAGGAATGACACAAATAAATGAAAAAAATATTCCATTATCATGGATTGGAAGAATCAATACCATTAAAATGGCCATAGTGCTCAAAGCTAATCACAGATTAAATGCTATTCCTATCAAACTGCCAATGTCATTTTTCAACACAACTAGAAAAATCTATTCAAAAACTCATATGGAACTGAAAAACAGCCTGAATAGCCAAAGCAATCCTAATCAAACATAAAAAAAGCTGGATGCATAACATTACATGACTTCAAACTATACTGTAAGGCTATAGTAACTAAAACAGCATGGTAATACTTGTGGACCAATGAAACAGAATAGAGAATCCAGATATAAAGCCACAAACCTACATCTATCTGATCTTTGACAAAGTCAACAAAAATAAGCAATGGAAAAAGGAGTTTCTATTCAGTAAATGGTTCTGGGGCAACTGGCTAGCCATATGCAGAAGAATGAAACTGGACCCCTATCTTCACCATATACAAGAATTAACTTTAATGGATTAAAATTAGAAATGTAAGCATCCTAGACAAAAAATCTAGGAAACACCATTCTGGACATTAGCCTGGCAAATAATTTATCACTAAGTCCTCAAAACGAAGACAAAAATTGACAAATGGGACGGAATTAAATTAAAAAGTTTCTGCATATCAAAAGAAACTATCAACAGAGCAAAAAAACAAGCTATAGAATGGGAGAAAGTATTCAAGACCTATGCTTTCAAAATGTCTAATATCCAGAATTTATAAAGAATGAACAATGGAACAAGCATAAAACTAATAGTCACATTAAAAGTGGACAATAGCCATGAACAGATACTTTCCAAAGGAAGAGATACAAGCAGCCAACAAACATATGAAAAATGCTCCACATCACTTATTAATAAAGAAATGCAAATCAAAACTACAGAGACATAGAGACATACCATCTCACACCAGTCAGAATAGCTATTATTGAAAAGTCAGAACCAACAGATGTTGGCAGGACTGCAGAGAAATGGGAATGCTTTTACATTGTTGATGAGAATGTAAATTATTTCAGCCACCATGGAAAGCAGCTTGGAGATTCCTCAAAGAACTTAGAACTTCCATTCCATTCAGCAATCCCATTACTGGGTATATATCCAATAGAAAACAAATCATTCTACCAAAAAGACATATGTATTCACATGTTTATTGTAGCACTTTTCATAGTAGCAAAGACATGGAATCAAACTAGATGCCCTTCAATGGTGGATTGGATAAAGAAAATGTGATACTTATACACCATAAACACTACACATTCATAAAACATGAACAAAATTATGTCCTTTACAACATGGAGGAAGCTGGAGGCCATTATCCTAAGTGAAATAATGCAGGAACAGAAAGCCAAATACTACATGTTCTCACTTATAAATTGGAGCTAAACGTTGGGTACTCATGGACATAAAAATGGCAAGAATAGAAGCTGGGGACTACAAGAGGGGGAGGGAAGAGATGAAGGGTTGAAAAACAAACTCCTGGGCACTATGCTCAGTACCTGGGTGGTAGGATCATTTGTACCCCCAAACCTCAGCATTACACAATACAAACAGATAATAAACTTGCACATGTACTCCTTGAATCTAAAAGTTAAAATTTATTTTAATTAAATAAATAAAATAAAAAGGAATATAATTGAAAAAGTAGACTATGTTGCTAAATGATAAATTTCTATGCTACATAATTCCAGAAATTTGCAAACTTCTATCTTCTCATTAATTATTCAACGAGTGCTAGTATTATTGCTATTTCAATAGCTGCTAAGATTTCAGTGTCATCAAATAATTGTCAGCTTCTAATGAACTCAGTTACTATGTTGGCAGATCAAAATGATCTACAGTATCTCAAATTGGAACATAACTTTCTCTTGACTATTTCCTAATCTCAGCATGTTGTTATTATCAACTAACAGCCAAGATATCCCATCAAGATATAAAAAGAAAGTTGTGTTAATTATGCAGGCACAGTGTTGCGATACGTCACTGACCTTTTCAAAATTCTTTTTTTGTCAGTGTTTCATAAACCATTTCAGCAAAGACATAAAAAATAAACAACAAAAGGTCATTGTTTTAGGCTATTTTTCATAAATGATTAAAGGAATAAAACTTAGTTCTGCATTTTTGCAATATTTTACAAATAACATTTTTCAGGTAAAGTTTTTTGATGATTTTGTGTTATGTGCAAAGCTATTTAACATATACAGAATAACAAAGGCTCAGTTCTAAAGCCCTTTGAATCAGCCACTAGGATAATATAAACCTTTGATGGGTTTATATCTTAAAAGAAATTGGCTCTTTCTGTTTAATGTGAGAATATAGATTTTTTGGAACAGATTTTGAATTTTTCATTAATGATTTTGCAAAATGTAGATGAATAATTTTCTTGGAAGGTTTTAAGGAAGGATTTTTTTGCTAATTTTACAGATTAGCTAATAATAAAATATATTAATATGTTTTATCTCTATATAAATGTAAATACACATTTCAGCTGGGCGCGGTGGCTCACGCCTGTAATCCCAGCACTTTGGGAGGCCAGGATGGGTGGATCACGAGTCAGGAGTTCGAGACCAGCCTGACCAACATGGTGAAACCCCATCTCTACTAAAGATACAAAAAATTAGCTGGGTTTGGTGGTGCATGCCTGTAACCCCAGCTACTCAGGAGGCTGAGGCAGGAGTATCACTTGAACCCAGGAGGCAGAGGTTGCAGTGAACCAAGATCACGCCATTGAACTCCAGCCTTGGCAACAGAGCAGGACTCTGTCTCAAAAAAAAAAAAAAAAATACACATTTCTATGTAAAATCCTTGATTCAATAAATATTTATTGAATGTCAGGTAACAGGCACTTTTCTTGGCCCTGGAGATATTGTAGTGTGGAGGGGATAACAAAATTACGGCATATTAGAATTAATTCTAATGTTGAGGACCAAAAAAGTATGTATGTGTGAATTTATTATTTGTTAGAATTTGATTGCCATATATTTATTGAGATCATATCTATTTATCATATAAATTTTTCTTGGTTGATTTGGGTTTTTATATATTCTAATGCATATATTTTTTGTTTTACATATATAAATTAAAGAATGAGTAAAAAATATATACATTAAAATATGTAAAAGTCCAAAGGAACTGAAAGAAGATATTTCAAACAGGAGTGAACAGCATGCACAAATACTCTGAAGCGAAAAGGTATTTACCTGAAGAAACTGCACAGAGACTGATAGAGCTGACAGAGTGTCGGGTGGGTAGCACAGTAGATGACTTCAGGGAAGTCATGGGGGTCAGATTACACAGGGCCTTGTAATTCAGAGAAAGAACTTTGACTTCTATTCTGATACAATCTGATGTATATTTTAATAGGATCAATCAAATGCTATGTTGAAAATATAAGAAATGTAGTCAAGGATACAAACAATAGTAATAATTACAATAACAGAAGACAGTGATAAAACTGTGGTGTGGGCTAGAATAGTGACAGATGGTCAAATTCTGGATGTTTGTTTAAGGAAGAGCCTACAGGATTTAAATAACATATGAGCAAAGTGCAGTGGCTTACTATGAAGATATCTAGGAAAATTGTATTCCAAACTGAGGGGATTCTAATTGTCAGTGCCTTGAGTTGGGAATATACCTGGAGTGAAGGAGCAGCAAGGAAGATACTGTGGCTAGAAAAGAGTGAATGTCTTAATTATAAGGAACTTAGGAGGAGGAGAGTGCAGAGAACAGGAGCCAGGGTAGACAGAGCAGGGTCTGATGTGGGAGAGAAAGAAAGAAGTTAAAGATAACAACAAGGTTTAGGAACGTGAATAACAAGACAAATTTAGTTGGTAGAAACTGAAATTAGTAAGGCTGGAAGTGGTGTTGGTTTGGGGGAGAATATCAGCTCAGTTTGCATATGCTAAGTTTAAACTGTGGAGGTGTCAATTACACAGTTAGATATTCTTGTCTAACGATTTCATAAGGGACAATTGGTCTGACAATACAGATACATGGTTTATCAGCATTTAGTCAAGATCATTCTGGGAGTAGGATAGGAAGACAAGTGGCTCCTGGAGTGAGCCCCAAGCTTTTGATTACTTAGGGAAAAAAAAAAAAAGCAACCAAGAATATAAACCAAATAAATCCTGATCTATTATGTGAAGACAGTAACACAAGATTATTCCCTAATTCTAGTGCTTTGATATATTTTTAAGTGACAAGTTAGAGATGTAGTTTTCTATCCTATTTCATAAAGTGTTTTTAGGACATATTAAACTATTTGAGTAAAATATTTTAAGAATAAATTTGTTCTTGTATTTTCTGAAAAAATAAATGAGGAAGTAAAAAAAAAGAAGTTACCTATAGGTTTGGGAAGTGAAGGGGAAATGGGAAATGGTGCAGGCCTTCTAAATGGAGACTTTTTAAATAGTGTTTCTGAATTTGGAAAAAGATAAATATATGATCCATTCAAAAATAAAACAAAAATTTTAGAACCATAACTATATTCTTAATGTTAACAATAGCTGATTTTTCAACACTTGTTTTCCAATTACTTTTAGGCCTAAAAATAAAATTTACCAATTTAAAAGAAAGTCTGCATAAAGTAGTACTGACTACTAGTTGATTTGAAGTTTAAATGATTTCTCACATTTTTCTACACTGTATGTTCAACATTTTAAAATGTATACATTTGAAGATGTTTTAGCAACTTCCTTTTATTCTCTACCAAGAAAAATCCAGTTATATTTTCCAGTCATGTATTTTCTATTAGTTTTACTGTCTTTAAAGGGTAGTAGAAACACATTTTAAATGCTTGACCTTTTCTGTGTGAGGTGATTTTAAAGTTAACAGACCTACCGTTTCTGTTTTGCATGCTTTCCACATTTATAAGCTTACTGCTAACTATTTTGTTGTTTAAATGAAAGACTGTGCTGACAATTAAATGGAGGTTCATGCATGCTTCACTGCCACATCTTATTACCATCGACATAGAAGAAGCAGAACGCTGAAATTACTGGTTTTAGCCTGCATCTGCATGGCCTTATTATACCTACTAAGGTGAAAATGTCAGCTTTAAAGAATGTAATTATATAACTTAAACTGCAGTGGTGGCAAGGTTAAATTCTTGCTTTACTGATCTTAAAACAAACCATAGTTTCTAGGTCTGGAAGTGCCTTTTGTTTATAAATTTGACCTCTCACTTTCATTCCTTCTGCTGTTTTTCTTCAATAAGGTTTTCAACACAGGTGTTAATTCAATATAGATTTTTGAACTTTTTCTACTTCAGTCTGTTTAAATACATACTATTTCCAACAATGAGAAGGCATACAGCATACATATTATTGTATTGGACTCTTCCTATCTGGAAAGTTCAAGTGTAAAATACACTTTAAGATGCTTTGAAGTAAAGCAACCCAAGTTAATTGTCAATAATTTTAACTTGCAAATGCAAATTACAACCTAGGTTAATAAATATATTTTTAAATTATTGCTAAAAACTAAATGTCTTTAGTTAACATTTAATTATCTATTGAATATGCAATTATCTCAATAAGTCCTTTCACATGAGCTCTTTTTAAATAGTTTGAAAACTCTGAGAATTTAATTTTTAAAACCTATTTGATTTTATTATGGTTGATGTAGATACAGGCTTAGGAATGATAAGTTGCAGTTAAATATACATTTAAGATATTATTTGAAATAATATTCCTAATTAATATGTAATGGAAAACATCATGACTTTCAAGTATGTATCTTAATAAGCACATAATTCTATAATATAACATAATATTCAGTGTGTTCTCTTTGCATGACACTATGGAAAATATGGAGTTGCTCACTCCATTCAAATGTTACCAAAATGATAGAGGCATTTAAATATATCACAAAGACATGCAGATGAAGAATCATATAAATATTGTAAAACATAGTAAAGAATTCAAGGAAGGAAGAAGGAGCTTGTAGCAACAAGGATCCATGAGTGTTTCCTAGACCTAATAACAGTCTCCAGTTATGCTGGATAAATTTTCTGGATGTAGGAAATGGGAAGAATAAAGGTATAAGATAAGATGTTAGAAATGGATGTTAGGGATTTATTACACCTCTAGTCTGAGCACAGGAAAGCATTTGCAAAAATATTTGACCAGAATGCACTTTAAAAAACAAAATATGTAGATAGCATATCTTCAAGATATAGAAGTTACTGGGCAAATGAATTTATGTAGATAGCCAAATTATCATTTAACAGTTGTATTTATTCAGTTTTGCAAAAATAAAAAATAAATAATTGATTCATCTGTTTTTACTTTACCTTGCAATAGAAAACCACATTTTAAAAGCTATTTTCTATTAAAGGAAAAAATAATAAAGTATTCAAATACAAAATGGAACATTTTAATTTTAAAATATATTTTTAAATATTGTACATATCTATGAAAAAGGTAAAATATTTGTCTATATCAACAGAGTTTTGCATAATTTTATGTGACATCCACATTCAATTGGAAATACTTTCTGCCATATGGAGAATTGGAATGCAGACAGAAACAATGAATATTAACCTTTATTTTTTTTTCTAAAACAGGAATTTTAAGGTGAGCCATTTCTGAGCTAGCAGTTTAGGTCAAGTTTTGTTGAAGAGAACTTAGGGGATTTCTGGAATATATCTATTCTCATAGTTATATTTATAGCTGTGCCTCTCCCTATGTCTATATTTCTCTAGTTCTATCTGTCTAGCTATATCATTTATACCACAGGATATGATGTGCAGTAAGATATCCACCAGCATAAAGAAGATAGAAAAATTTGGAGAAGGAAAAAAGGAGACAGATGCTGTCTGGTTCCCTCAAAAATGTGATAGTTGTACATTTATCGACATAAACCTGAGTTTCTGTAAATGTTGTTTGAGGTCAGGGGATCATGAAAAAGACAAAAGTCCCAAGCTCCATTAGTTTATATGGAACCTGCTAACAGAAAGAGCTTCTCTACTGTTTCCTATTAAGCAGTGTGTTGAACAATTGCATCCTTGCTCTCAGATCCAGTTCTCATTTGTAATGGCTTTTTGTTAGTAACTTTAAATGTGTACCTCCGCCCCATCCACCACCATAAATCCTACTGGAACCATCATCAACCAGATAGAAAAATAAGTTTTAGTAAGTGAAGGAAGTTTATTTCCACTTCTAATTGAAATATACATGAGATCCTTTCCGCAAAATTATTTATATTAATTATATAAGCTCTTCACATTTAGAAGAATATTGTCCAAACCAATATTTATTTTAACAACAGCATTGGTATTGCCAATGTTTGATCTTTTACTATAGAACCTTTCCAGATTATATTTGGTCTTATGTAATAATTAGGCTTTGTGGATATATTGTAGTCAAGAACATATCTTTCTTCCCTGAAAGAACCTAACACATAAAGGAGGGCCATAACCCTTCTATGTAAAATGCCCCTTTGGCCATGGCATATTGATATCAGGGCACACATATCTGATTCAAGCTGGACAGAATTTTCTCCCCTATAAATTATAAGTTTGTAATTCAGCAAGACAGAGATGGGAGTTAATAGAATTGACAAATATTGATGGCAGCTAGAAGAAATAGACAGTTGTTTAGTTACTAAATATTTATGACTTCATCATGTACCTTCCAGTGAGGTATGTACTCAGGTTATATTGTTGTTGAAAAAATAGACATATGTTCTGCACTTTTGTGGTTTACAATATAATAAAAGTCAGGAAATACAAATAAGAACAGACATAAGATTATAACTTCAGGTTGTGGTAAACACGCTGAAGGAAATTATTAAAGAACAGTGATAGTTTATAAAAAGAGATATCCAAATTTTTATGTGGTGATGAAGTAGAACTCACTGAGGTAGTTGCAATACAAGCTGAATCCAAAGTTTGAGAAGAACCCTGCTATATAAAGTCCTTTTTAGGGAGAGTGAGCCAAATATATAAGGTCTTAAGACAGAAAAGATTTTGGTGTATTAAATAAAGCAAACAGGATTGAAGTACATTTAATTTTAAGGGGTAAGAAAGAAGATGGAACAAAATAAGGTTGAAAATGTAATTAGGGATAGATCCCAACATATCTTATTTGCTGTAGTAAGGAACGATTACTTGAAAATATTGAAATAATTGGTCATTTCTATAAATAGTTTGAATGGAGTGATGATGGCACTGGCCAGATGGAATTCAGTTGTATAGTAATTGGAGATTTGAAAGCAGGGACAATATGTGCCGACAAATACTCTCTTTAGTTTGAAGAAGGCTAAAGCAACAGCTTAATAACCAGAAAGGGACATCGAGGGTGATAGGAGGGCTCTTTAGAAGGTGAGATACTAGAGAATAAATATAGACTATGGGTATTAGGATCCTCAAAGTTCCCCTTATTTCTTCCATTTCTGTCTTTTGGTTATTTTTATTTAATGAGATACAAAGATAAGACATTTGTTCTTGGGTCTTCCCAGAATCTCTTTGGAAACTACCCATGGACCAGAGCAGTCTAATTTAGCTCTATGTAAAGTATTTCAAGCATTTAAGGGGTTAGTCTGCCATTCTGGTAGGGCTGACTCCTTCTAGCATTTCCACAGGCGAACATGTAATCATAGTAGTTACATGAGGGGTAGGCAAGAGACCAGGCTGTGTTTATTAAGATCCTTTCCAAAATTTTATGAAAGCATGGCAGCAAAAAGAAGGATCAAAGCAACCCGAAGTGAACTTTTTTAAAAATATTCATGTCCTCTTGATTGCAGTGCTCCCAAAAATCAACATTTTCATCTTGAATAGCTTTGTTCTTGCTTTGTTTATAAATCAGAAAGTGTGATTTTTCACTATTGCAGGGGAAGCTTATGATCTGTGTTAGTTCCTTGGGGGTACTGTAACAAATACTTCTATTGTCTCACAGTTCTGCAGCCTAGAAGCCTAAAATTGAGGTGTTGGACCATGCTCCCTCTGAAACTTCCCTTCCTCTTCTAGATTCTGGAAGCTCCAAGATATTACTTGGCTTGTGGCAACAAAACTGTGATCTTCACATGGCTTTCTCCCTTCTTCTTTACGTATTATTCTCTCTCTGCATGTCTGTTTCTGTGTCAAAATTTCCCCTTTATAAGGACACAGTCATTGGATTAGGGCTTAGCCTAGTGGCCTCATTTTAAATTGATTACTTCCTTAAAGACGTTATTTCCAAATAAGATTACGTTTTGAATTACTGGGGATAAGGACTTCAACATATATTTTCTGGGGTACAGAATTCATCCAGTAATACCCACTTATTCATTAGATATATATTATATATCTAATATAAATATTTCTGGCCTTGTGCCCACTCTTATTCATTTTTCCCATAAAAAGGAGAAATGAGATACCAGGTTGGTGAGCCAAAGCTTGGGCCTAGGTTTATTTTCGGATCACCTCTGTTTAAGAGCCATACCTCTTATGAGTTCAGCTCTTTTTCTTCCTCACTTCTGAGCCTTGGGCTAGGGGAAAGAAACTGTAGATCTCAACTTTCAAGCGGATGAGAATTTCCACTTTAGCCCAGGGATGAACACTTTAGAACACTGTTCACTTTAGAACAGTGAATATTAGTTCCTCCTAAACCACTGCCTTCAAATCCATTCATGCATCCCATAACTACATTTCCATCAACAATGGACCACATATATGACAGCGGTCCAGTAGATTCTAATACAATATTTTATTGTACCTTTTGTATACTTAACATATGTTTAGATGTACAGATACCACTTTGTTACAATTGCCCACATTATTCAGTAGTAATATGCCATACAGATTTTCAGTCTAGGAGCAATGTGCTTTACTATATAGCCTAGGTGTACAGCAGTCTATAGCATCTAGGTTTGTGTAAGTACACACTATATATGTTCTCTCAAATATTAAATTGCCTTAAGATGTGTCTCTCACATTTTATCTCTGTTGTTAAGTGACGCATGATTGTAGATTTATGGTTGTATTTTTTCATTGTATTTTATTTAATATCTATCTATTAATTAAGATCACAATTCTACAGAGAAAAATGTTGATCTTGACTAGGCCCTTTAAAATCCAAGTATCAATTTAGTTTGTTCTGACATTTCCTTTGAAAATGCAGTTTAAGGTCCAAATGTTTCTCTCCTACATTGGAAACTGTCTTTGTTATTCATTGATTCATGAAAAATTAGCCTGCATACTATACAAGATCTATATGTAACACATTTCGATTATCATAAATATATATTTTTAAGTTATGAGAGGAGATAATATACATATGTTAATATATGTATCAATATTTGTTTACTTCACTTGACTTGTTTTATAATTTTTTTTGTTATTTTTGTGCTTTTCTGTGACATTAATAAAAACACAAAATGTGTTTATAATTGCTTACATGCACACATTACAATACATTTTAGAAGGAAAAATATTGCTGACATTTATTTCTTTTAAAACTGATGTTCATATCTCCTGGAACATGTATTTGGTGAAATACAAGTTTTAAAAATTGCCTGTAATCCCAGCACTTTGGAAGGTTGAGGCAAGTGGATTACTTGAGGTCAGGAGTTACAGCCCAGCCTGGCCAACTTGGAGAAACCCAGTGTCTACTAAAAATACAGAAAATTAGGCTAGCGTGGTGGCGTGCACCTAATCCTAGCTACTCGGGAGGCTGAGGCAGGAGAATTACTTGGACCTGGTAGGTGGAGGCTGCAGTGAGCCAAGATTGCATCACTGCACTCCAGCTTGAGTGACAGAGTAAGAATCCACCTCAAAAAAAAAAAAAAAAAAAAAAGAATTACCCATTATTTTATATGCAATTGCAAACCGTTCAATTGCAACCTCTGTCACTGCAAAAAGAAAAATATAGTAAAGATTTTCAATACTGATATATGTGTGTGTGTGTGTATATATGATTGAGAACACTTTAAAAACTTAAGGTAGATCCCTACATAAACCTGTCAATTGAGAGTTAGTTGAAGCAATGTATGAGATTCCTTGGTGTTGCACGGTTTAATAGCATAGCCAACAACCATATGCGGCTATTTAAATTTAAATTAATTAAAATTAAATAATAATAAAAATTTAGTTCCTCAGTCACTCTAGTCATAAAAGAAGCTACATGAGGTTAGCATCTGCCAAATGAATAAGAATATAGGACATTTTCATTATCACAGAAAAATGTATTGCATAGTGCTTCCTTAGCATCTCAATATTTTATGAATATAATTGAATATTTTTTTAGATGATTTCTGACAAATCTGTTACTCATAAATGTCCAAGTTACTTCAAGGTCCTTTTCTTACACTGCCTTAGAACACTACCCAGAATGCCAACACACCGTTTGACTTTAGTATGTGTTGGCATGTCATGAGACACATTGTGTATTCAATCTAAGATAATGAGGGACAGCAACCAGCATATGATGAGGCTCTGGAGGTATGTAAGGTGTAAGGGTATGTGCAGGATTTCTCAGAGTATTATGAAGTAATACATTTTGCTTTCAGTTTATGCCCTAAAAAACAAATTGCTATTCTTTTAAATGAAACAGAATAATATAATTCTCTGTGTTAAAAGGGTTAGAAAATGGAGATCAGAGCAAATAGGAGAAACAAACACTCTGGTCACAAAGAACAGCAGGACAGAAAAAACTTATTCCAAGAGCTAACACAAATGATATACCATCAGCTTTAAAAATATATATATAAACACTATTTATATATATATACACTATATATATATATATATATACACACACTATATATATAGTGCAGGCCAGGTGTGGTGGCTTATGCCTGTAATCCCAGCACTTTGGGAGGCCGAGGAGGGCGGATCATGAGGTCAGGAGCTCTAGACTATCCTGGCTAATACGGTGAAACCCTGTCTCTACTAAAAATACAAAAAATTAGCTGGGCGTGGTGGCAAGCACCTGTAATCCCAGCTACTCAGGAGGCTGAGGTATGAGGATCGCTTGAACCCAGGAGGCGGAATTTGCAGTCAGCCGAGATCGCCCACCGCACTCCAACCTGGGCAACAGAGTGAGACTCTGTCTCAAAAAAAAGAAGAAGAAGAAAGAAAATACAGTGCAGGACAGAAATGTTGTATTTAAAAGGCAAATGTGGACTTATGCAAATGTAAATATTAGGGACGATATCCATCTATTTCAAAGGACTCTAAAAGACATTGGCATCCGAGGGAAAAAGGTGGGTAGTTATACAGATACCATATAGAATGTAGAATATGAACCAGAATTAAACAAGAACCAAGAGAAAAGGAATTTATATAGGATCAGACCTTGGCCACACTGATCATTGTTATCTGATCTTTAATAAGAAGAATCTAAAAGCTTAAACAAAAAATTTAGAAAATATGTTACTAATATTTTTGAATCTCTGTACAAAGAATATGTGTTTGGATTAATGTGTAATTTGCATCTATATAATTTTATTAAGATATTTTAAAATGAGTTATCCTCAATACATTATTTTATTTTAGAAAATGAATTAATAAATGTCCTCATACACTCATGTCCAGAAAACTAGGGAGAATGAGCCATACTTAATTATTAAAAAAAAAAAATCTTTTTGAAGAGATAGCACTACTTTATGTATCAAATTTTTTATAAAATGGCCATTTCTGGTATACTATAATGTATTATGCTATACATATGTACAATAAAATCTTAAGCATTTGGGTTGTAGTCATAAAAACTCTGTATATATGGGTCGTTGCATTTACTATCTTTTCAAACTTTGGAAATTACTTAATTCCACTGAAACTAGATTTCTTCATCTGTAAAATAAGGATCGTATTTTCTTTCTAATTAATATGGAATATTTAAATGAGATGATTATTTAAATCACTTAGAAGTCTGCTAAAAGTAATGGGCAGGTATTTAAAAATAGTTTAAATAGTTGGCACACAAAGATATTTTAAAATAGAAATATCAAGTAAATGCATATTTGTTGCTAAAATTATCATTCATATTTTGCATTCCTTTACCTAGATACATTATTTTCCAGCAAATGTAGCTAAACATATTTTGGCATTTGATAGGAATTATTTGTGAATAAAATCTTTTGGGACTTTGAAAGGAGTGTCCTGTTTTAGTTCTTGGCTTGACCCACATTGACAGGTAAATCAGGTACTTCTTTATTCTTCCAAGGTCATTTCTTCCAATTGTGCTATCTACTTGATATTCAGGTTTGCAAATCATCCTTTGAAGTTGTAGACTTGTCTTATTGCTGATTGATCTTAAGCTTCTTTTAAACTGAAGCAAAGTTTGAGTAACAGTTCTAATCACCAAAGAATTATTTCCAAACAGTGTGATTCCCCCACCTGCATTTCACAGGCTTTATATTATTTTATAAGGGAAGAATAGAAGACTTTCAAAATGTATTACTGCCGTGAAGCTTCACTCAAATTTATAGACTTCTGATCATTCTAGTTGTTCTTAAATAACGTTTGGGGTAAAGGCGACAGTTCTTATGATGGTTTTCAATATTCAACAATAGAAAAGTAATTACTTACATTTATTTGTTTGACATATACAAATAATGTTTGGGATATCTTGAAAGAATATTGATTTTTCTTATAATCACTGTACTATCCTAGGAATATTGAGAAAAAACTGCTCTTTATCTTATTTCCATAGTCCATCTATAGTAGCCAAATAACTTTTCAAAATATCAGTATTGGATAGAGTTTTGGAGTACAAGTCATTTTTAAGTTATTTTGTATTTAAACCATTTCAATTTGTGAAAGAGAATGCAAGAAACTCACCAAAGGCTACAATGGAAGTATATGGTAGAGCTAGGATCTGAACCAAATTTGTGAGTGTCTTTTTTTCTTTCACAAAATGCAGCATAATAAATACATTATATTACGTTACTTTGTACTTAACCAAATATATATCCTACAAATCACTTCATGTCAATTCACAAAGATCTTTTTTATACCTGAAACATACCTGCTTTCATATGTGCTCTTTTATTTATTTACATACCATTCATATCCATTTAGACCACAAATATATGGGTGTTTAGAAGGTTTCCAATGGTTTGCTGCTACAAATAATGTCACCATAAATGACCTGCAAATATGTTATTTCTGCCAATATATTGATGTGATTCTTCAGAGCACATTCTTACAATTGAGATTTTTGGGTAAAAATATAGATTCCAATATAGTTTACTTAGCTTTTGTCCAATTCCCTTCAAGAAAATTGTACCATTTTTAATTCTAAGCAGATGTCAATTCATTTATTGACATGCAATGTACACACCATAAAATTTACCCATTTGAAGTGTACAATTTAATAGTTAATAATAGTTTTTTAAAGTATTCATGTATTTGTGTAACCACCACTACTATTTAATTTTAGGATATTTTTATAATCTCACAAAAAAAATCTCAAACCCACTGGCAGTCACTTCCTGTTCCCCTGACCCCACCTTTGCCACTCCCAATCAATTTTCTGTCTCTATAAACAAATAAAATAAAACATGCCTATTCTGGATATTTCATATAAATAAGATGATAAATATGTAGCTTTATCTACCTGGCATTTTTCACTTAGCAAAATATTTTCAAAGTCCATTCACGTTGTATCACTTTTCTGTACTTTATTCATTTTTATGGCTGAATAATATGCTACAATAATCTGGTTTATCCATTAATTAGTTGATGGAGATACAGGTAGTTTTTAGTTTTTGACTGCTTTGCAAAATGTTGCTATAAACATTTGTGTACAGGTTTCTGTGTGGCCGTGTTATATGTACTTAGGAAGGGAATTAATGAAACATATGTTAACTCTATGTTTAGCCTTTTGAAGAACTGCCACATTCCTTTCCAAACCTTTCCAGACAGCCAATTTCCTTTCCAGCATTTCAATTTCCCACCAGCAATGTATAAGGATTCCATTTTCCACATACTTGTTAAAACTTGTTCTTTGATTTTTTTTTTTTATTTTATTTTAGCCACTGTTATGGGTGTAAAGTACTGTCTTGTTGTAGTTTTGAATTGTCTTTCTATTTACTGATGATGTTGAACATTTTCCCATGTTCTTATTGCCTTTGTATATCTTATTTGAAGAAGTGTCTATTCACATTCTTTAGCCATTTAAAACTGAGATTGTCCTTATTGTTGAATCAGAAAGTCTTTATATATTCTGTGCATAACACTTACCAGAATATAATTTGAAAATATTTTCTCCCATTATGTTTGTTGTCATTTAAGTTTCTTGATTGTATCTTTTTAAGCATAAAAGTTGTATTATTTTTAATTTTATTATGGTGCAATTTATTTACTTTTGCTTTTGTAGCTTGTGTTTTAGGTGTTAGTCTCAGAAACCGTTGCCTAATCTAAGGCATGAAGATATACTCCTGTGTTTTACTGTGAGAGTTTGACATTTTTACCTCTTACATTTAAACCTATCATCCATTTTAAATTAATTTATGTACCTGGCGTTTTCATTATTTTGCATGTAGATAGCCAGTTGTCTCAGCCCCATTAGTTAAAAAGGCTATTCTTTCCTCATTGAATTAGCCTGGTACTTCTGTTGAAAATCAATTGAGTGTTAAATATAAATTTATTTCTGTACTACCCAGTTAGGTTAACCAGTAGGTTAAATTTCACTTTCTTATTATGAGTGGAATTAAATTTTTTTTCCTAGGTTTATGAGCTTATTTATTACATAACCATTTTTTCATGAAATGCCATGTGTCTTGCTCAGTTTTTTTAAATCAAAATTTTGTACTTTTTTTTCAATTTTTTCAGAGTTCTTAAAATTTAGTGAGAACAGACTTAAGAAGCAATACAATTAATTTAACATTAGTGGCTATCTAAAAATAGAATTTTTTCTGATCCACTGCCTTTAAAATGTTTGCCCAAAAATTAAAATGAGGTTTTTGTCAGTTAGTCCCAGCCTTATCTATATTATAGGGAAAGCAAAGCAGACAGTCCAATTCATACTATTTGTTTACAGGAAAGACATAATTTCTATGTGTAGTTACTAAAGAAATTGTATATTTCACTTTGCTTTCTACTTTTCAAAGAGATGTGGATTAAGCTACCTTAATTTCTTTGAGCACCTAGTAATCACATCTAGGTAAATCTATATACTCTACTTTATTCCAGTGGGAATGATTTATTGTGCTCCTCTATAAAAGAATGATTTCCAGGAAAAAAAAAATGCTAAGGAAACTCTATTTTAGCTTGTAGAATCACTACCTGCATCCTCTACCAAGTAAACTGGTGGCACATATAAAAGCCTTCCTTTGAGGATGGTTTCCTTGTCTCCTTGAGGTACTTCATATTAGCTACAGCCAGCACTAAAATAATCTGAATACAAATTTGTTGACTTCAACATTCTAATTATTTATTTATAAACATTAAAGCCACATGGGTAGAAAAGTTAATATTAACCTGACCATTAAAAAATAAGCAAAGAATAAAGTTTAATATATTCTGATGACGAGAAAAGTATGTTTGCTTATTGACAAACTGATGATGAAGCATGTGTATTTATATAAACAGTGATTCCTGTATGGTTCAATAAAAACTAAATCTATCAACAATAAACCTAATCCTCTTAAGTTGCTTGATAATGGCTTCTGACATTGGCATTCATGGTTTCATAACCTCTCATCTTGAAGCTTCCAACAAGCTTGGTAATATTTTTTAAGCATACTCTGAGAGACAAACCAAACAAAGGGATTACTGCAACACACTCAGAAATAAAAATGCTCAACACTACACAAATGTACATGACAGAAAGTAAAGAAGCATGCAACATCCAATTGAAACTACATTAAAAATTTAGGTGAACAAGATTACTCAGCTTGGAATGCAGCCAGGAGAAGGATAAAGAGTTTAGAGTTATCAGAGTGGAATAATGTGGAAATGCTAACTGCTAACACCAGACATCAACTTCTATAATTAAAACAGCTTTCTCACAATGAGAATAAATATCTTATATGTATTTATACTTAATATATGTATATTAAAATTATTATAGCACTCTAGATATTATAAAAGATTTTGTATTACAACTATAACCACAATTAATAAAATTTGCATTAGAAAAATGACTACTTAAAGATATTTAACCTGAGTTGTATCTTTTCTTCTAATTCAACTAATTTTATTTGTTTAGTGATTCATTTAAAATTGAATGCCATAATTTTTCATATAAAAATCATCAAATGTGGCATACAGTATAGTAATGTTTTAAACTTTTTTTTCAGAACAGTTTTATGTTCACACCAAAACTGAGCAAAAAGTAAAAAGATTTTCCACATACTCCCTGTCTACACACATGAATAACTTCCCTTGCTATCAACATCTCCCACCAGAGTGGTACATTTGTTACAATCTATGAACCTACATTAAGGCAGCATTATCACTGAAAACGTATAGTTTCCACTAGGATTCACTTTTGGTGTTGAACATTCTATGGGTTTGGACAAATGCATAATGACACATGCCCACCATGATAGTATACAGAGCTGTTTTACTGCCCTAAAAGTCTTTACTGTTTGGCCTAGCCATTCCTCTTTGCACCCTAACCTCTGGCAACTATTGATCAGTTTATAGTCTCCATAGTTTTGCGTTTTCCAGACAGTATAGTTGGAATCATACATATGTAGACCTTTCAGATTGGCTTTCTACACTTACTAATATGCATTTACTTTCCTCTGTGTCTTCTCATGGCTTGATAGCTCATTTCATTTTAGTGCTGAATAATATTTCATTGTCTGGATGCATCACAGCTTATTTGTTCATTCACGTACCAGAGAATATCTTAGTTGGTTCCAAAATGTGGCATGTGCAATCTAAAACATGCACAATCTTAATGTACTAGTAAGTTATTTTCATCACCTATTTTTTCTAATCTATATCTATATGAATAGTTTATATCATTTATTATATATCTCTTGAAATATAATTTTGCATATGCATATAATCGAAATATTTTATATAACATTTTCTTGTTTTAAGGTGTAATGTAACCTGTGGAAAAAAACATAAGAATGTTGTTGTAGTTGCAGGATACAATACAAATATGAAAAAATGACTTTTTTTTTTTTTTGACATGGAGTCTCATTCTGTCACCCAGGCTGGTGTGCAGTGGCGTGATCTCGGCTCACTGTAACCTCTGCCTCCTGGGTTCAAGCGATTCTTCTGCCTCAGCTTCCCGAGTAGCTGAGACTACAGGCACGTGCCACCATGCCCGGCTGATTTTTTTGTATTTTTGTATTTTTAGTACAGACAGGGTTTCACCGTGTTAGCCAGATGGTCTCAATCTCCTGACCTCGTGATCCGCCTGCATCGGCCTCCCACAGTGCTGGGATTATAGGCGTGAGCCACTGTGCCCGGCCAACAAATGATATTTTAATGTATAAACCTATGTAGCAGAAAGTGAGACAAAGTAAAAGAAGAAATATGGCTACAAGAATGAACACCGTGTTGCAAATGCCACATTAAGGGAAGTAAAAAATGGATAAAAGTCAACAAAAAAGTAAATATCAATTAATTTAAATATTTTTGACCGAAAACCGGTAGAGAATTGAAAGTAAAATAATAATAAAATTTTACATGGAGAAAAAAAGTCTAAGGAAATTATACACTTTAGCTACAGATGCATCTTTTATGGCAACAATAGGCTTTGTCAATGAATGATAGATCATTGTATAGAGAAAAGAACACAGAACTGTAGCAGCATTCCTTTGAACAATTAGACATAATTGTTTAAGACTTTGTCTCTGGGAAGACACAGGCCTGGAAAGAAAAATATTGGGGTATACAAAGACTCTATTAAACTAGTGATGTGCTACCATGTTCATATATACCACTTTGGTAAAAATTAAATATTTATAAAAGGAAATAGAGAATGATTTTCAGTTTTATGCCATAGCCAAGTAGAGTAAAATATTGGCAGTGAACGTTTGACATATTTATATTTAGAGATCATATTCAAGATGAGATTCCAGCAGGAATTTATTTATAAAAAATTTCCCAGCGGGAGACACTGAAGAACATGGGTCTCTTTACCAGTGAGAGCACTAATGAAGAGATTTCCTTTGGTGGTATTCAGAAAGCCAGAATATCTTCCCTGTAGGACTTAAACTTTGAACTCTTATTAGTCAGAAGTCTTCGTAAGTTCATATTAACCAACATAATATCACATATGGAAATAAATTAGGATAATAATCATGACATTCAACTGGATAACATTTTCAGGTTAATCAGAATATTCTTTAGCTACAGAAAGAATAATGGCTAAAAATATTAGGAGTTGGAGATTAGTATATCTTTAAAAATTCAGAGAGAATTTGCAAAATTCTTTCAATGTAGATTTTGTTTGAAAAAAATATTTTCTACAATTGTTTCTCTATGTCACTTTTAAGGTCTTCCTCAAATGAAGTAGAATAACTAATTGTAATAAAAATGAATGATTATTGAACTTCTGTTGTTGAAAAGATTCTAACCATAATAAGACAATGTCTTAAACTTAGAAAAAAACACTACGTATATGTACATGAATTTGTTCTAATCAGGCTTCCTCTTTTACTTGTACCCACAGAATCTATACACATTAATATCCCAAGTGGAACCATACACAGAAACAAGGAAAATGAAGCAACTAAAGCAGTGGTCTTCAACCTTTCCGGCACCAGGGACCAGTATAGTGGACGGACATGGTGGGTGGAGGTAGGGGGGCAGTGGATGATTTGGGGATGAAACTGTTCCACCTCAGATCATAAGGCATTAGTTAGATTTTCATAAGGAGTGCACAACCCACAACCATCGCATAAGCAGTTCATAATAGGTTTGCCCTCCGATGAGACTCTAATGCTGCTGTTGATCTGACAGGAGGCGGAGCTCAGACAGTAATGATTGTTCACCCATTGCTCATCTCCTGCTGTGCAGCCCAGTTCCTAATAGGTCAGGGACCAGTACCATGAGAACATTACTCTCACCCACTGCTCACCTCCTGTTGTGTGGCCCAGGACACTCTCACTTTCATTTTTTTATTACAATTAATCCTTTTACTTTACACATATATTTTACATATACTATACATATTTATATGTGTAAAAATATATATTTTATATACATCTATATAAAATCTGTTACACATACTATATTTAAATATACATGTATTTAAAACAAACAGAAAGACTGCTCTCTATCTTTCAAAGGAATTATGTAGCTATTTATAAAGGCTTCTCATTACTCTATGAAAGGACATGTTAAAAAGAAAAGATTGAAATTTTAAATATCTGCCATTTTCTCTGGGCTGCTAATGGTAGTTGAATATGTAAATACAGGCAGAGATACCTGAGGAAGTGGAAAGAGAAATTTCTTTAGTAATAAAATAAGAGGACAAGAGTTTCCATGAAGAAACTGAAGACACGTAGAGTGATAAAAGAGAAATAGAATGTCTTGGTGGTAAGAGACAGCCAAGCATCTTGTTCAAATTGCCAACAATCTTCAGAAGTATATCCAAAATTCACTCTCAAAGAATTTTCTCCTCTGCCCATCAAACTCCATTTAGCTCTACAATCTTTCAATACACCCTTCTAAATTAGTATAAGTAAACTTTTGTCTTATTTTGCTTTTAATAGAAACCAAAGGAAAGAAGCTAAATTTTCTATATGGACTGAGGTAGAAAAAGAGAATAAACAAACAGAGAGAACATTCAAGTTCAGCAAGGCAGGAACAAGAAGATCTTGAGAAGATCAAGAGAAATAAGCCCTTGAGAATATTTTGAGAAAAGCATTCGATTTCCATACAGGTGGTAATAGGAGCCTCTAATTAACCTTAATTTCTTAGGATGAGTTTAGGACACTTGTTTTTGATAGCACCTCCAACACAGATAATGGCCAGTAGTTAGGATTTTAAGCAGAAGATTGCGATTATACTTCCTCTTGATATAGAACTCTTCTCAAACTCAGATTAACAAAAAAAAAAATTAAAAATTTGCCAAGTTTCCACTCACATTTGCATCTTGATGATCTTAAAAGGCATACAATAGAAAAATGCTACTTTTCAGAAACTGAAACATTATAAAATGACAATAAACTTGAAGAAGCAATCTTTACAAACTATTACGTAAAAAAGCAAGTGTTTATTGACCTAGATTGTATTTAATATTAGCTGAAATGAGTCATAAAGTTCTAGCATTTAAAAGATATTTTTTAAAAGCAGATAATTGATTATAACTGATGTAAGATACCTGTTTGTCACTTTGGAAGGTGATAGTGCATGTTATTAATGAAACATTACATTTCAAACCTTATAAAGGCCACAGTTACTGAACTTTAATGGATATCTGGGCTCCTATTTGATTGCTACGACCACATTTAACATGTTCGGTTTTGAGAAATTTCCAATATTACTGTTCATGTCACTGAATAACAAAAAGCAACATAAGTTCTCTAATAAGGAAGATCTATAGTGCTTATTTGTCCAAATTCAAAATTTTAAATGATTAATATAACACAAGATACAGAAACTGTTCAAGATAGAAAAGCGAGTCTCAGAATAATTTTGTGATAAGCTTAAATAAACCAGTGGCAATGTCAAGAATTTTGGGCTTGTCCTATTTGCAAGTGTTCTATCTATTACAACACACTTTATAAAGAAACAAAAAATTAGTTAAAGACTTTGTGAACCACTGGAAAACTACCCTAAAATTAAAATCCAAAGAAAAAAAGATTTGAACAAATACTTTGAACCAATCAATTCACAATGAGAGTCCTAACAGCTAGTTGCTAAAATCACTCTTTAGAGTACTGAGGATTTTAGTGGAAAATGTGATTCATCTTACTTTTCTTTCTTCAATTAAGCCTACTCATAAAGATAATATTTGTGGATTTAGGAATATCATTTTCAATAACCAAATACTTTCATGAATATTAAAGAAATGTAAAAACTAATTCACTGAGTTTATGAATTAGTGGTGGTGAGGAAAACAAAGTTGTATAGAACAGCTAAACAGCATTGCAATTCAATGTGATTTACATAGTATTTTGTATTTTAAAAGTTTGTTCATATTATCTCGAATTTTTGGTTGCTCTTAAAAAATAAATAAGTCATACTCAGTTGATGATGGCTGACTAGTGGTGCCTGGCACTCAACCTCTTCCACAAAGAGAGAAAAAAACAATAGGTAGATAAACACTTATCAAATAGATAATATAAGACAGGACAATGGATTTAGCAGGGAAGGGACAGGGAACCTCTGAGGCATAGAAGAAGAGGGAAAGCAGCCAGCTCAGCTGCGATTAACTTGAAGCCAGGAGAAACTCCCCACTGTGGGGAAAAGCTAAGCAAAAGGTCCTCAGCCATCCACATTTCCACTATAAGCTCCTGCGGTCCTAGCCACAGGAGAGACCCTTGGCCCTCACAGACCCTGAAACTAACTAATACAGGGAGCTACCTGGAGACCATGTGACAGCATTGCTGCAGAGAGGAAGTTCATGCTGGGTCCCATACTTTAACCCCAAGATATAAGCAGCTGTAGGATGGTGCCATTTTGACAGCCCAGCCCCCGCCTGACTGCATCCTGTCCTGGGGCCCAACAGCCCCTGCATCTAGACATCTATGGAACTCTATTGACATCTTCCCTACATCCATTCAGAGGGTTGCAGCATTATGATGCTGGCTGGACCCAGTGGTGAGGCTGGGTTTTTAGCACTTTAGCCTATGCAGCTACCTACACCCCTTGGAATAGGCAATGCAGTGCAACAGGGCAGTTGACCCCAGGACAAAGATAGCCAAAGCATGTGCTTCCCAGTGCCTGACAGCCACCTGCATGGGGATCCTGTCACTAATAGCAACCTACCTCCAACAGCAGGATTGTCATGCACCTGCACACATTTTCAATGGGACTGGGGAGTAGCTGGCCTAGATGCCATCCTGGAGCCTATAGACAGAGCCACCCTGCTTGCTGCTGCCAGTGCTGTCACCTGAGCATGTAGTCAGGTGGCCTGGAAATTGATACCCCTGGCGCTTCACAGCTGACACTTGAGTAACATCATTGGGTGGCCTGAGAACAGGTTCTCCCTGCCCACCCCATCACCGCCAGTGTCTGTGTGCATTGCCCAGGGACTGGGGATTGAGCTGCCACACCCACCATACTGGCATCCACATGCACCATCAGAAGACCTGAGGGCATATCTGCTCTTCCTGCCACCACCAGTGCCTGCACATAGCATCAGCAAGCATGATAACAGGCTCACCCCTCTTATTGCCACTGCCATCAATTCCTGCATGTGTCATCCAGTTTGGGATTAACTCATTGCACCTCTCATAGTGAGCACCTATGCACACGACTGGGGGGCCTGAGGACAGGCTTACCCGGCCTTCTGATACTGCTGTTGATGCCTAAGTGCACCAGCCATGTCCGAAGACATGGGAATTGAACCACCCACTGGAAGAGCAACTACCGCAGCCGGTGCTCATGTGCAACACTGAGGAGTCTGAAGATATATTTTCTGCACCCATTCCTGCCTGTGCTAGTGCCCATGTACATCATCCAGCAGTCTGGGGATCAACCCACTCAGTATGCCACTGCCAGTACTCATACAAGCCTTTTGGGAGCCTGAAGATGGGCCTACTGTGCCCACTACCAACGTCCATATGTGCTTTCCTGGGTCTAGGGACTGGGCCACTGAGCCTGCCTCCACCACTGCCACCAGAACCCACACACACATCACTTAGGGTCTGGGGATTGGCCTGCCCCATTCACCATCACAACTGTTGGCACCCACACATGCTGATGGGGCTAGAGAGTTGGTCTAATGCTGCTACTGACAACACCATACACAAAATTGAGGGGTTCAAGGCCCCACCAACCCACCTGGTCCACTGGTCTTACTGCCTAATGGACAAGGATAGGCCCACCTAGACTAGCTACCACTGATGCCATGGGCATCATCTGTCCATGGGCCCAAGGACGGACATGCCTAGCCTGCAGTCACCACCACTGGTACCCAAAGAGGAGTCTGCTTTGTTTTCCTGTCCCCAGGAAAGCCTTACTACAGCCTCCACTAATGACTGCAAACTAAGTCCCTGAAGAACTCACAGGTATTAGTGATGCTGATTATAGTCAAATAACCCGTACAGAGACTGAACTGCTGTACCCACAAAGCATTAAAACCAAATTGTACTACCCAACTAACACAATATATACCCATATAAGAAAAAGTGTTTTCAAAAATAACATTAAAGAAACTCAGTAAGATGGAAGAGAACACAGATATGTAATACAATAGAAAAAGAATTTATTATTTGAATTGGAAATTCAACTAAAAGATAGATATCCTAAAGAATCAAACATAAATCTTGAAAACAAATAATTCAATAAATAAAATAAAAAATATTATTGAGAGTTTCAACAATGGACTAGATCAAAGAAAATAAATAATTTCTGAACTTGGAGATAGATTTTCAAGCAATCTAGTCAGGCAAAAATAGATAGATAAATAAATACATAAATACATACATAAATGAGAATGAAGAAAGCCTGTGTGACATATGACACAACATAAAACAAGCAAATATTCTAATTTTGAGATTTTCAGAAGGAGAAGATATAAGCAAACACATAGAAAACCTATTTTAAAAATAATGACTGAAAAATTCCAAAGTCTTTCAAAATATATAGACATTTAATTATAAGAGGCTCAAAGATCTCCACATACTTTCAACTGAAATATTGAAAGTAGAAGCAAGAGTAGGTCTTCTCTAAGGCACATTATAGTCAAAATATAAAGATTCAAAGACAAAAAGAAAATTCTATAAACAGCAAGAGAAAAGGATTAAGTCAGATATAAGGAGATCACCATCAGACTAAGAGCAGATTTTTCAGCAGAAACCTTACAGGCCTGAAGAGAATGGAATGATATGTTTAAACTTTTAGAACACTATACCCAACAAATCTGTCCTTCAAAAATAAAGGAGAAATAAGTTTTTGCTTATCCAAGATGAGCGAAAACTGAGGAAATTTGTCACCACTAGACCAGCTCTACAAGAAATGCTTAAAGAATTACTACATCAGGAAGAAATATGTAT
Organism: Homo sapiens; assembly: GCF_000001405.40. NCBI lineage: Eukaryota > Metazoa > Chordata > Mammalia > Primates > Hominidae > Homo > Homo sapiens. The sequence goes on from NC_000004.12 coordinate 135,346,696, forward strand.
GGGTGTGTTATATTTCTATATTTCTTATGTATATCTATATATACATAAGATGTATAGCTATTATAATATCGTATCATGAAAACACACAAATACATAGAGCAAATAGTCAAATGAGAAGGAGAAAAATGTCAAATGTTACCACTACAGAAAACCACCAAACCACAATGATAAATAATAATAGAGAAAGAAAGGAACAAATTATACACAAAACAATCAGAAAACAATAAACAAAATTAAGTTTTCAAGATATTTTCAATAATAAACTCGAATATGAATACATTAAATTCAATGCTTAAAAGATATAGACTAGCTGAATAGATAGAAAAAAATAACCAACTATATGCTGTCTAGGAGAAAATCACTTTACTTGTAAAGACAAGAATCAAATAAAAATGAAAGGATTCAAAAATATATTGCTTTCAAAGAAAATCCAAATGTGAGCAATAGTAGCCATACTTATTTCAGATAAAACAGACTTTGTGTCAAAAACCATAAATAGAGACAACAAAGGTCACTATATAATTATAAAGAGATAAATTCAGCAATAGAATATAACAATTCTACATATGTTTTCACCCAAATTGAAAGCACCTAGACATATAAAGCAATTATATTATTAGATCTAAAGGGAGAAGTAGATTCCAATACAATAATAATTGAGAATGTCAACACACCACTCTCAGCATTGGATAGATCACTTACACAGAAAATCAACAAGGAAACATGGAATTTAAGCTGCACTTTAGACCAAATGAAACTAACAGACATTTAGAGGACATTTTATTCAGCAGCTGCAGAATACCCATTTTTCATATCAGCACATGGATAAACTACATGTAAGGTCAGAAATAAGTCAACAAATTTTAAAACATTGAAATATAAAATATTTTCTAAGATCACAGTGAAATAAAACTAGAAGTTAATAAAAACAGAAACTTTTAAAATTGTTCAAATGCATAGAAATTAGTCAACATGCTCCTGAACAATTGGATCAAAGTGGAAATTAAGAAGAAAATTGAAAAATTAAGAAATTTAGAAATTAAGAAGGAAATAAAACAAAATTTTGAAAAGATAAACAAAATCAGTAAGCCACTAGTGAGACTAACCAAGAAATAAAGAGAGAAGATTCAAGTAAATAAATCAAAACAACAACAAAAATATTTAACAACTGTGACAACCGAAACATAAAGGATTATTTGAGACTATTATGAATAACTATATGTTAACAAATTGATATTCTTAGAGGAAATAGGTAAATACCTGGACATCTATAATCTACAAATATTGAAACAGGAAGAAATAGAAAGCCTGAATAGATCAGGAACAAGTAGTGAGATTGAATCAGTAATAAAATGTCTAAGAAAAGCCTAGGACTGGATGGCTTTATGAGTTTGGTTTGAATTCTACCAAACTTATAAAGAACATCAATTCTTCTCAAATTATTCCCAAAAGCATAAGAGGAAAGTATTCCTTCTAACCCATTCTCTGAGGCCAGTATTACCTTGATTGCAAAACCAGACAAAGATCCAACCAAATAAAAACTCTAAAGATCAATATACCTAGTGAACATAGATGCAAAATCCTCAACAAAGTATTAGCAGACTGAATTCCACAACACATTAAAAGGATCATTCACCATAGTCAAGTAGGATCCATTCCAGGGACATAAAGATGGTTCAACATATGAAAATAAATATAATAAAATAATAAAATATTAAATAAAAGTGATGTATCAATTATCTCAGTAGAAAAGTACAAAAAACATATGATTACCTCTGTAGAGGCAGAGAAAGCATTTAATAAAATTTAATATCCCTTCAAGATAAAAACTCTCAACAAACTAGGCATAAAAGGAACAAATCTCAACATAATAAAGCCCATGTTTGACAAACTCATGGCTAAAGTCATACTGAATGAGGAAAAGCTGTATACCTTTCCTCTAGGATCTGGAGCAAGACAAAGATTTACTTTCACCACTCTTATTAAACATGACCCTGAAAGTCCTAGACAGATCAATCAGGCAAGAGAAAAAAAATAAAAAGACATCCAAATTGGAAAAGAGAAAGTGAAATTGTCCCTCTTTGCAGATGACATAATCTGATATACAGAAAAACCTAGACTCCACAAAAATTTTTTAGAACAGATAAATTAATTCAATAAAGTTATAGAATAAAAAATAGGAACATAAAAATTAGTAGCATTTCTATATACCAACAACAAACTAGCAGAAAAAGAAATCAAGGAAGCAATCTCATTTAAAATAGCTATCATAAAAATAAAATATCTAAAAATAAATTTAACAAACAGATAAAAGACCTTTATAAGAAATACTACAAAACAATGATGAAAGAAATTAAAGAGAAAGAAACAAATGAAAATACATCTCATGCTCATGGACCAAAAGAATTAATATTGTTAAAATTACAATACTAATCAACTTAATCTAAAGATTCAATGTCATCCCTACCAAAAAGCCACTGACATTCTTAGCAGGAAAACAAAACAAAACAATCCTAAAATGTGTATGGAACCACAGAGACCCTGACTACCCAAAGTAATACTGAGTACAAAATACAAAGCTGAAAATAACATACTACCTGACTTCAAATGTAATACAGACCTATGGTGTGCGGAGCAGCATAGTACTGGCACAAAATAGGCCGAAGAACCAATAGGAAAAAATAGAGAACCCAGAAATTAATCTACATGTTTACGGCCAACTGATTTTAAACGGAGAGACAAGAACATACATTGCGGAAGGGACACCCTCTTCCACAAAGGGTGCTGGGAAAACTGAATATCCACATATAGAAGAATAAAACTGGACCCCATCTCACACCATATACAAAATGCATGTAAAAATAAATTAAAGATATAAATGTAAGATAAAACTATAAAACTATTATTAAAAAATTTAAGGGAAATGCTTCGGGATATAGGTCTAGGCATACATTTTATGGCTAAGACTTCAAAAGCACAGGTGACAAAAACAAAAATAGGCTAATGGAAAATGTTGAACTAAAAAGCTTATGCACCACAAAGAAAATCAGCAGAGCGAACAGATAATCTGTAAAATGAAATAAAATACCTGCCAACTATTCATCCAATAAGAGACTAATATCCAAAATATAATAAAAACTCAAACTATGCAACTACAAAAAATCCTATTAAAAATTGGACAGAGATTCTGAAAAGACAATTTTCAGAAATAGACTTACAAATGGCCAACAGCTATATGGAAAACTGTTCAACGTAACTAATCATGAGAGAAATGCAAATTAAAACCGCAATGAGATAATCATCTCACCTCAGAATCGCTATTGTTAAAAAGATAACAAATAATAGAATATTTGTGGAGAAAAGGGAACTCTCATACCCTGATGATGGGAATGTAAATTAGCATAACCATTTTGGAAAATAGTATGGAGGTTTCTCAAAAAACTAAAAATTCAACTACCATATAATCCAGCAATCCCACTACTACATATGTATCCAAAGGAAAGACAATCTGTGTGTTAAAGAGAAATCATCACTTCCCTTTTTTATTACAGCACTGTTCACAACACTTAGGATATTTAAATCAAACTAAGTCTCCATTAACATTTAAGTAAAGTAAATGTGGTATAAATATACCCAATGGAATACAATGCAGCTTAAAAAAAGGAGGAAATTCTATCATTTGCAACAACATGGGTGGAACTGGAGGTCATTATGACAAGTGAAATAAGCCAGACACAGAAAGACAAATATCACATGTTTTTACTCATATGTAAAAGCTAAAATAGCTGATCTTTTGGAAGTAGAAAGTAAAATGATAGTCACAAGAATCTGGGAAAAGGTGGGGCAGGGGAATTAAGAGAAATTTGTTAATGGGTACAAACACAGTTAGATTGAAGGAGTAAGTTCTAGTGTTTAACAGCACCCTAGGTTCACCACAGTTAACAGTAATTTATTGTATATCTCAAAATAGCTAGAAGATTTGAAATGTTCCTAATACCCCCCAAAATGATAAGTGTTTCAGGTGATGGGTATCCTAAATACCCTAATTAGATCATTCCACATTCTATGCATGCATCAAAATCCCATGTGTCCCATAAATTTGTGCAATTATTACGTATCAATATTTTAAAAACTACAAAGGAATTGGAAGAATCACAGAGAGGAAGACAGCCAGCTGTAGTTCATACAATTCAGATTCACAAGGCTGAGAGCTGTAGGGAGCAAGTGGAGAATTGATATAGGATAGATTGTAGTCCACAGATTTAACTAATAAATTCCTACGCTGATAATTTTTTGTAGAAATTATAATCCATCTGTGATATGACATTAGAACTAATACTTTACTAAAAGGAAGCGTTATATTATGTGAGCTCCTATGGGTTTTCTATCAATACATTATAATTCAAAAAGACATCCATGGTTGAATAAATTGCAAAAATGTTGTAAAACAGTAAAGGCAATAAACAGATTTAGGAAATAATAATATATATCTTTTTCAACTTAGAAATAATCCAGTCCTTTATTCACAAAACTTTTCTGTTGGTACACTGTATATTTTGAATCCTACTCCTTTGTTCACTTGTTTTTAACAATGTTCTTGGAAGGCCTATGATATCTCTAGACATATATTCAATGTTGTGTCCAGTGTGAAACACAGAAAAAAATTTTTTCTTGGACCCCATGTTGTGAAAAGATTGAGTATATTATCAAAGGAAATATACTTATTGATAAGCTATTCCAGAGTATGCTTTTATTAGTGTTGATTACAGGAAATTATCACAAAGACTCAAACATTCTCTATTATAAATTAAGAGTTAATAAAATGTTGTTGACACAATAAGAAAACCTTGTTTTTATTAATACTGTATTTCACACCTATGTAATATATAGCTCAGTTGAAGAAATGATCCTTCTCATAACTTTTTTATGATTCTTAGAGAAAAATGGTGATTTAAAAAAATTATGTGATTGTTAAAAAGGATTTGATCATTAAATAAAATTATTAAGAGCATGTAACTCTTTAAAAACACATTTTTGTCAAAGCAATGAAAAAATGTTGGTTTCTTTATCTGTAAACTTTAATCAGGTTCTGGCACAATTTATGCTCTATGAAAGACATAAATCTATACTATCTAAGCATCCTGCCATGGAACAGTTATCGAGAAAAGAATATTAGAATCCACATATTTAAATAAAACATTAGCAAAAAGTCAAACTTCTATATGGTAAACCATGACTTGTGAAGAAATATAAAGGTATATGTTATTTTCTTTTTTTAATTCCTTACTTAATTGTGTAACCTAGGAAAAAAAATCTACTTTTTAAATTTTTACTATTTTTCACATGTTGGTTTTTCACTTTTGGCCATTAAATCATTAGCTTTTCTATGTTGATCTCATTCTTCCTACAGTTGTATCTTTTTTTTTTTTAAAGCATAATTGCTGAAAACATTTGGAAATTGAATTGACATATGTTTATCTTACTTTTTTTTCACCCTAATGAACATATCTAGAATGAACATACATTTTAATTTGAACAATAGAGACAATTTACACAGCATGATGTATATTTATTTATTTGTGATGTCTGTTTCACAAACGTTCATGAATGGCATGTAGTTGATTATTTCTGAGTTTCTATATCACTCCATTTAAGTGAACAGAAATTTCTTTCAATATCCAGTGATAATAAAGTAACCTTATAAAATCTACAGAAAAAGATAAATATCAAATACAATATCAGGTGCTCCAAATCTGGAATTTTACCTATAGTTTACCATGTTGGGAAAGAAAAAGTGTGTGCCTCATGTATGCAAAGTAGTGCTAGATATTTACTGTATGGTTGGCTTGATGTTATGGGTTCCTTCATATTCTACCAACTTCAGAACTTGTGTTGTAGGAGGCAATATAAATTAAAACTCTGACATATAAAATGCTTCCATGGCATAGTCCCTAATAATAAATGCAATAATGTTCTTTGAATGTTCAAAACATAATCTAGGAGTTTATGATCATGAGCAATATACTAACAAAAGCCTTACCACATGTCATGTGGTAATAGGCTATACTGACACAACATTTATTCTTAAGAGGGACATTCTTTAGATAAAATGTTCCAAGAATGCTACCAGAGGTATTTGCAAACTGGGGAAGGAGTTTTCCACCTAGTTTATGCGACTGTTTTCATATAGATTAAGGCCAGGTGCTGCTAAGTGGGAACAGACGAATTTTCTACTTTTAAAGGACTTTGGGTTTGACAACTGCAATATCCAGCTTCAGTATCTAATCTTAGTTCTCTAAAGTGAATTAAAAGTAGGCAGCAATGGAGGGTGAAAAGTGTGTTCTCTGGAGGTAGAACTGTGATGGAGTCAGGCAAATATGAGGGCTACCTAGAGAAATTATCGCTGAAATTTAAAAATTGTGGTGATTTATTCAACTTTAATGGATCCATTTCTCTACACCTGCACATGTTCTACGTGTCTTTCAAACTCCTTAAAAAATTGTTTATGCTGACAATGCAAAATTACTCTCTTGATATTAAGAGATTTCCTTCAACAAATAATTTGAGAAAAAAGCAAGTCTCCAAAATTATGTGTTCTTTCATTTCTTTTCATTATATGATACACGGATATGGAGAGAAAAAGAATGTTTTGAAACAGCATTATGAAATACTTGTCCTCATTTTTATGTATAATCTAGGAATTGAAAATATTAATAACTACTGGTTGGTAGTCCTAAAATATCATGTATTTTATTATTCCATTTTACTTTAAAAAACTGCCAGATAGTTTATTTTTATTCTGTGACCTCATTCCTCCCATTTTTAAAATAACGTAGAGAAAAAGATATTTCAAGAGATGATTTTATAAGGAAGTAACTTGAGTTTATGTCAATTTTAAAATACTCTTTTATGTTATTTTATATTTTCTACATCATATCAGCTGTTAAAAGTATCACAATCTTAATATATTTGACTAAAGGTTCACATTCTCTAGCATTTATTTAGAAATATTAATAATTTAAAAGTAATCAAGATGCTTATTTACTACCTGCTGAAAGTAAAATGAGAATATTTTGTATAGCTGTTGTTTTGTACTATAAATAAATACTTGAGGATCTTTACATATTATTATTTTGTACTGGCAGAAAATGGTTAAATATAACGTGCAATAATTAGTAATTGATTAGTTTTGTTCTTACATTTTATTTTATATTTTGTTTTGTTTTCTTTCCTTCTTTCTCCATTAAATTATTGGGGTTTACTAAAACAGAGCAAGACCCACTGAAATATTTAAATTGAATAAAATTGAACTATTAAATTTATATCACTGAAATGATGGGTGCTCTATAACTCTATGGATTTTTTCTTTGAAAAATATCAGTAGCCTTGAAAGTAAACAGTAGCTGTGAGAAGAAATTATTGTATAAGCAATTCTACAAATAATTGTGTTCTAATCATCTATAAAATCAGCCTGGAACTGATGATTTCATGAGAGTATCTCTACTTCTAAGATTTATAATCTCATATCTAACTCACCTCTTCTAAATGTTCAGCAATTAGATAAACTGGGAGTCTCCCATTCCCTCTGTAATAGGTTAACAAGAGATAAATATTAAACCTAGTGAAGAGGCAACTGATGCTTGACAGGAGAATAAATAATTGTATCAAACCCAGATATTATCAGTTTTTCTCTCTCTATTTAAAATTCCATTATGCCATAATCAAATTATGATGTTTTAAAGACCATAGACCACCTTCTTCTCATGGTTCACAATATATTTTTCTGTAAACAAATTGATAAAATGAGGTATTTGAGAAATCTTCCAATACGTGCAAAACCCTAAGAAAGCATGTCATTAATATGATTTAAAAACTTACCTACTTCGTGAAGAACAAAGTTTAAATAATTGCAAGACACCATGCCAAGCTGTCTTTAACTTCCTATACAGAGATCCTATATAATACTTATGTACAAAAGTCTTTATGAGGGTCTGAGTGAAATGTTTTGTTCTTAACATACATTTGCACTTTGAAATAGAAACAAAAGTATTTAAATTAGTTATTTTTGTCACCCAATGTGAACTATTAATAATCAAATATAAATAATAAAAGAGTATTATGACCTGGAACTTTACTTAACTAAGTTGTATGATAAGTTGAGAATGTGTCTGAGAGACATAAAATATTATAAAATATAAATTATGCTTATTTTTTAAAGTTCTGTCTGAAACTTATACATTTCTCTTGCCATTTCCCCCTCTTCTCTAGACTCCCTGCAGTGTTTCAGAATAGTTGAACTTTAAATTCTGTGCTCCAAGAGATCTTTAAATTGTCTTCTGTTGCACAAGTAGTAATGTATAATGCAGAAGGCTTGCAAAACCTCAAAGAATTTCAAAAACTCTGCAGCAGTGGTTGAGTGGGTTGTGAAGTATATCAGTTGCCTTTAGCCACTAATAAGAAAATCTTTACTTGTTTTAAATTGGCGTCCTCTTTTAAGGGAAAGTCATCAGGCTTACAAATGAGCAGAGTGGCCTCCAGGTCTGGGAAGTGCTGGCAGAAATGTGTGTGCCCCCTTCAGTTCCCAATTTAATCTCTCCTCTCTGTGTCCGCTAGAGCCTGGTCTTCATGTTCAATATTAGTTCATCACCTACCCATTGCTAAAAAAGGGAAGCAAAACAATAATGTACAGACAATGATGAATGTGAGAGATCAACTCCTGGTTCCTTTCTATTTGAAATCAAATTTTAACCTGTTGATTATTACTAAAGGAAATAGATATGTCAAGGACCTGAAAGCGTATTTTTCTTTGTATGTGTTACTGTTTTACTAATTGATAAGCAAACTTATCAAATTAAATTCACTATAGAAAGAGTATATTAGCATAGTTCTGACAGCTTAATAGAGAAATCATTTTTAAAAAGTTAAAAACATTTGGGGCAACAAGAATTTAAATTTTTCTTAATTACCAACTAAGTATATTTTAATATATGATTTTTTTTTCACAAAGGCCTTCTTTAGAAAGGACACACTGAAATAGTTATAGCTTTAGAAAAGAAAACTAAAATTAAAGATGATTTTAAATTTACTAAAGAAAATTGACTGGAGGATGACAGTTTTACTCTCACGGTAGTACACAGAAAATGATAAATAATAAGAAAGACACAGAATGCATGTGTAAACAGAAAATTTCTAATAATAATTGAATATGTGTAATCTTGTTACATGGGAATGTTTTAATGAAGAAGACACTTTACTTTGTTCTGGATAAAATTAAGCACCATGTTTTAAGAATTTTCTACTCCTCTCTTCACATCCTTAATTTTATTTTCATTCTTAATAAATGTTAACAAGTAGTGTTGTTAATACTACTCATCTTGCAATAATTCATAAATATAGTTTAAGATAATTTAATGGCCGGGAGCAGTGGCTCATGCCTGTAATCCCAGCACTTTGGGAGGCTGAGACAGGTGGATCACGAGGTGAGGAGATCGAGACCATCCTGGCTAACACGGTGAAACCCCGTCTCTATTAAAAATACAAAAAAAAAAAAAAAATGCTGGATGTGGTGGCACGTGCCTGTAGTCCCACCTATTCGGGAGGCTGAGGCAGAAGAATTGCTTGAATGCAGGAGGCAGAGGTTGCAGAGAGCCGAGATCATGCCACTGCACTCCAGCCTGGGAGAGAGAGTGAGACTCCGTCTCAAATTAAAAAAAAAAAAAAAAAAAAAAAGGTAATTTAATGAAATATTTCTGCATTTTAAGCAAATTGTGGATGTGCACCTACATATAAGCATAAGCATATTCGATATACAATTGAAGATGGTAATTATAATTGTACTTATTATATATTAACTTCATATTAACTACCAATTACCTAAATAAATGCCAGACACTGTTTCAGCTACTGGGACTACAGACACACTAAATTCCTGTCCTCTTGAAGCTTATATATGCTTTAAGCTTTCATATGCTTAAACTACTTCAGAGAACACAGACCACTTAAAAGTCAAATTTTCTATTTCCAAAACATAACAAACCTGGCAAAAGTTATTTATTTTGCCAACATTTATCAACAAGAATAGAATGATAACATTAAGTTTTCAGGATTATATCTTTATAAAAAATCCACAGCCCAAAATTTAAACATCTCCATATAGAAATTCATACTTCACACATTTTAAAGTATTCACTTATAAACGAATTAATTGATATTTTAGATGTATATACTTTTTACATCAATATTAGTGGAATTTCATCTTACTAAAGAAAAATCAATATATTAGATCTCATAAAAGGTAACTGTGAAGGGAAGTAGAAGGCAGGAGGAAAGACAACTTTAGCTAAAAAAGGGAAATAATTCATATTTTTTGGACTAATTCATATTTGAAAGCAATATTAAGAATTGCATTTTTTATAGCAGTCATAGTAAGCTTCCATACATTGAATGGCTTGAAACAATATGAGTGTAGTGGTTTATAGTGTTGTATGTCATAAGTCTGGCACAGGCCTCATTAAGCTAAAATCAAGATTTTGGCAAGGCTGGGTTCCTTTCTGGAAGTGCTAAGGAGAATCTATTTCTTTACCAGACTCTAAAGGCTGCCAGTATTCCTCGGCTCTTGGCCTCATTTCCCCATTTTCAAAGCCAGCAATATCCAATCTTTCTCTTGTTTTTCTTCAGCAGTCACATTTCCCTCAGACCACAGACAGGAAGTGTTCTTCAATTTTAATAACTCATTTAATACATTGGGCCCATTTTGGCATTACAGGATAATCTTCCTGCTTTGAGAATCTTTGATTAACCACATCTTTCAAGTCTCTTTTGCCAAATGAAGGTAAACATGCTCACAGCTTCTGGGGTTGGGACTCAGATATCTCTGGAGGGCCAATTCTGCCTACCACAGAAAAATGTGTCTCTTTATTGACAGACAAATGAGAAAATTGAGATACAAATAATTTACTATTTTAAAATTATTAATATTCTATATTTAGAACTATGATATGGTTCTGAATCTGTTGAGGTCTTTTATTTTTTTTTTGAGGTGGAGTCTCGCTCTATTGCCCAGGCTGGAGTTCAGTGGCGCCATCTTGGCTCACTGCAACCTCCGCCTCCTGTGTTCAAGTGATTCTTTTACCTCAGCCTCTCGACTAACTGGGAGGTGCGCCACAACACCCAGCTAATTTTTGTTTTTTGTTTTTGTTTTGTTTTGTTTTTAGTAGAGATGAGGTTTTGCCATGTTGGCCAAGCTGGTCTCAAACTCCTGACCTCAGGTGATCCATCCTCCTCGCCCTCCCAAAGTACTGGGATTACAGGTGTGTGCCATCACGCCCAGCTAATTTTTGTATTTTTAGTAGAGATAGGGTTTCACCATGTTGACCAGGATGATCTCGATCTCCTGACCTCATGGTCCACCTGCTTCAGCTTCCCAAAGTGCTGGAATCACAGGTGTGAGCCACTGCGCCTGGCCACTCCTATCTATTTTTAATACTTATTTTAATGAATTCTGTTATTTGCCCATGGAGAAGAGTAATTGATTTTTATATATGTCAGTTTCTTTCATGCTTCTCATACCCAAATTCATGTGCTGGTCTCTGCTTATCTGACCACCTCAGAGCCCATAAATCCCTGCCTCAGTTCTTGACTTCTAGGAGGCACAAAATCTCTCTTTCAGTGTCTGTTATCACAATTATCAAAACTGTCAAATCCATCTACTGACAATGATCAAAAATCTCACAATTATTATGCCTTGTAGTCTTGCTCCTCTGGGCCTCAGATGAATTCTCTAGTCTCTTGCGCATTTTCACTTTTCAACAGAGAAGGATTTTAGATTAAAAAGTTAATCATGGTTTGTGTATAACCCACCACTTTAAAAAATTTATCATATTTACTGTTCCATTGAACAAACAAAATCAATGGAGAAAATTTTGGTGCAAAATGCCTCAGTGGTCTGTGGGATCACTGAGGATATGTTATGAACCAAATGTAAGATAGCAGCACCTAGTGTAATAGATTTCCAGACACTTCTGCACGTCACATTCTCTCTCGCTCTCTCCCCACACACATCTATCTATATACATACCTCTCATCTGTCTATATACATACATATTTTTAGAATAAGCGAATGTTCTTAGGTTCCACGAAGAAAAATAAAACAAGCAAACAAAGAGATTATGAAGTATCTACAATAAAATGAAAAACTGAACAACTAGGCAAGGGGGAGAAAAAAATAGCTTTTTTAAAGATCACTGTACAGTCTGTTCTACCACAATACTTGTTTCTCTAATTAACATACAGGAAATTGATAACAAGAGAAATGTTGACAGTATAACATTTATGTGACACTGGTACACAGACTTTTTATTTTTCTAAGCCATGGAAACAGGGATGGCTGAAATGGAATTATAATGTTCAGCAGGGAAGATTACATTAGCAGCAGGAGTTCTTTTGCCTGTATTAAAAAATGAACTTCTGCACCCTGAGAGCACTACCAGTTCTGTATAGACCTCACTTTATTTCATCACCTCTCATACACACTTTAAAAGTAGATCCACTGGGTCTTGTTGTCACAGCACCCACCAGCCTTGCTCTAGCTAAAGCTTTCCATTGTTTTCATTCCATTTCATTTGTGCATCTGAGATGTTTGTCTGGTCTAAGTGATCTCACAAGTGTGGATTATTGTTTTTGTCAGTGCATGGCTTAGAACATTGCACAGGCTTTAATTTATCTGCTCCAACTCTATTGTCCCATACACTCTGTTATTTTTAGTGCGTAGATTTTGTAGAACTTGATTTTTCTTAGGTGTCTCTGGAGAAAGTGCAGCCCTGCTGCTATCTGTATTTTTGACTTCTGGACTTCAGAACTTTGAGAGAATAATCTGTTGTTTTAAACCACCAACTTTTTAGAAATTTATTACAGCGACCACCAGAAAAATAATACAATTTTGTTTAAAAGTTCAGAGTCATAGGCGAGATCATCTGGACAGCTTATCAAATACAGTGAATGATAAGATGGTCTAAAAGGACTGAAAATCCTTCCACACACCTGGGTTCAAGTGATTCTCCTGCCTCAGCCTCCCGAGCAGCTGGGATTACAGGCACGCACCACCACACCCAGCTAACTTTTTGTACTTTTAGTACAGACAGGCTTTCACTGTATGAGCCAGGATGGTCTCCATCTCCTGATCTCATGATCTGCCTGCCTTGGGCTGCTAAAGTGCTGGGATTACAGGCATGAGCCACCATGCCCGGCCACTCCTATCTATTTTTAATACTTATTCTAATGAATCCTGTTGTTTGTCCATGGAGAAGAGCAATTGATTAAATTGCTCTTGGGAATCAAAGGGATTTTCTCAAGAGGAATTCAGGGAGTCCCCATAAAACAGATGATGAAATGATGCTAGGAAGATGAAATAAGCAAGTAGACAAAAGAATTCTGCTGCATTCATTAAAAAAAAGTTTCTATTATTGCAAAATTAGCATGATTTTTAGATATATCCTTCAGAAATATCTTCTTTGCAGCATATTAAAAATTAATAATATCAAAATCATTAATATCTGAGCCATTTATTTTTTAAATAACATCAATTTAAGAATTACTAAAAATATATTTTATCAATTTTGTTATATATTTTATTGATGGTTTTTGATACCAACTTGAGTGTTTCTTTAACCCAAAAGGCTTGACCTCTCTATGATATAAAGTTTCATCAAAAGTACTATTACAATGTCAGACTCAGCTTTCAAGGTAGTAATATTAGACTAATCTTTAAGAAGCTTCAAATTATTTTTATTAGTTTTATTGATTTTGATGTCCTGTGTTGCTTATAACCCAGGATTCCCTTGAGTTGTAAAAAATGTTAGTGATCAATATTAAATATCACTATAAGAATGATATATTTATTTTTTTTGTTTAGAATCATTTGGATCTTCCAATTAAATAAACTCTTTGAAAGAATTGTACCTCCTATACATTTAAAAATCAATTACCACTTACTACTCATTTAATAATTGTGTTTGTAGTCCTGCACGAATATTTTGCTATTGTTACAAGAAATCTTATCTGTATAAATTGGACCATTCAAAAAGGTTATTATAGGTTTGGATCCGTGTAAATAATCAGTAAAATTTTTCCCTATTAGATATTTTAATGCTAGATAACATCAATTTCCCCTTGGGCCCTTATCCTAATTTTTATAATGTGCTTTTTTCTTCATTCTGTGACTTTTAAGCTCTTTTATACAACATTTACTTAACATTATTTGCTACTTTTTTTCTTCAAATTGTGGAAGAAATTTTCTTTCACAGTAAAAAGGACTAATCTATCTCCTTCTTACAGATTGGGGTCAGTAGGAGAGTGTTATTACGATTAGTCTTCTGAAAACACCACTTTAAAAATCAGGGTTTTTTTAAAAAAGTTATTTTCCTTTTACAGAGTTCAAAGTAGGAGTAGTACCATCCTCTGATTGCTAGGTTAACTGTTTTAGTCACCTTATATCCATTATCCTCTTAAGGACTAGATTTTTAAACAACTTTACTAGTATGCCTGCTGTGTAAAGCCTTTTTCTTCTTTTGAATTTGATTCTGAAGGCATATCTTGAGTTTCAACACTGAACAATGGGCACTTGATGGTGGGAGCAGATAATAGTGTCCTGGAAAGATTTTGGGGACTTTACCATGTCTCTCTGAGTAGCCTTTAACTTAGCACCAGAGAAAAAAAATTCAGAGAGGAAACAGATAAAGAAATAAAAGGTGGAAGGGAAGATGAAATGATGCAGAAAATGAGCAGAATAAATTCACCATTACCAAAGTTTCCCAGATTTACAATTTGTTAAAGCATTGTTATTCATATATATTTTGCTTTTCTCAGCATATACATATGCTCCTTAGATAAGACATGATTACTAATTGTTACAATTATTGTCAAGTTCTTCATAATCATGGTTTTGTATAACAGTTTCATAGTTACTTCTAAGTGGACTTTGTTCAGGTTTTATGAATTTGAGATATTATCCTTTTACTTATATTGAAATTATTTATGGCATATCCAAAATTTCATTGTAGAAGTTTGGGTAACAAAAGGTTTTTACTATAACTGACTTTGATGATTGTTTTTCTCAGCCACTTATTTCACTGTCAAATTTAATTTCATTGTCAGCTTATTTTTGCTACACAAAAATGATCAGTGTTTGTTTGTTTATTGTTTTAAGGCAACTGAAAGTGTGCTATCATCCAAGGAGCAGGGGGAGCACACACAAGAAAATAAACATTAAAAAAAGTGAGGGTAATAATTGTTTATTTGTGCTCCATAATTCTCTTGAGAAATGCTTGCTGCCTTAAAGACCAGGTTTACTGTTGGAATCTTCCACTTCCTTTGACAATGCCCGGGTTACACACTTAAGAACATATCTGATAGTGAGCATTATAATGCTACTGCTTACAGGTTACTGCAGAAAGGCTGTTGATTAATGGCTACTGAGTGTCATATCTTTCCAACTTCATTGATGAATAACCTAGGAGGTTGTAGCCCAGAAACACTGATTCAGGACAGGAAAACGTCTAAGACTTAACACCTGCTACTCTGCTCTTCTTACTCGAAGGTGATAAATCATTCAATAAAACTTTACACTGATAGAATGGTGAACTGCCAATGATTCAACTAAACCAAAAAAACCTGCTGACCCCACCTCTCCAGCATATACTGCATGTCCTCCCCCATCATCACCCCTTCCATGGTCACAATAGAATTTAGTAAATTTATTTTATTTTCTCGCCATAGTTTCTGAAGTCCTTGATTTAATAAAATCGGAGTCTGGGAACTCTGTCTGTAAATACAGGAAGGACAAAATAAAAACGTATTCTCTTGTTCCTTTTAACACAAAATAAAATATTTTTGAAAACAGTATTGGCTGGAAATTTAAACTGTATCACAAAAATTGCAGGTGTCACCATTAGAAGGGAAATAAAAACAAATTGAGGCAAACTAAAGTGGAAAAAAATAAAAAAAATCAAGGTTTTAATTTTGATGTGCAAAATTAAAGGCCTGAGGAATAAAAATAGATTTTGATCAACCTCAGGCAGTGTACTTTGTGCTTTTTAAAAGCAGCCATGTTTCCTTGAGATCTGTGAGAATCATACAAATTTGGTAATTTTTCTGTATGTAAGAGAAAAGTAGCAAAACATAATTCTTCAACTATTGCATCTGCAGATTTCTTTACTATCAAAAAAGCTGCATATATAATTTTAGAAACATTTCTTAACCTTTATCTTGTCAAAGTAGATATGCTAGCACTAACAGTCACTCAACCAGTAGAAACAGATTGATGTAAGGCAAAGCCAGTGGTTCACAATCCTGTTTGTGTTCTAGAATCTCTTATGTTGCTTGGATTTCACCTTTTGAGAAGCTTATTCTGTGTGTCTGCTTTTGGAGCTTATCTTCAGTAGTTTAATAAAACTTCATAAGTCAAGGTGATAAACAGCTAAATTTGAGAACCACTATAATATGCAGAAAATAAACTCGAATGATTATATTATTAACAGTCTAGTCCTTAGTTGTATATTCTTTTTATCTCTTGATGTATTGATGTATGAGATTCTCAATTAGAATTAATTAGCATTTCTCTTACATTTTAATAATATGTACTTAATCATGTATATAATGACAACCAAAATAGAGACAATATATATAAAACAAAACACATCTTTTTTTTTTGTTTTTTGTCTTTTAGTTTTTTGTTTATCCCTCTCGTTCTCTTAAGAACTTCATGAGGCCGGGCGTGGTGGCCCATGCCTGTAATCCCAGAACTTTGGGAGGCCGAGGAGGGCAGAACACAAGGTCAGGAGATCAAGACCATCCTGGCTAACATGGTGAAACCCCATCTCTACCAAAAAATACAAAAAATTAGCTGGGCGTGGTGGTGGACACCTGTAGTCCCAGCTACTCGGGAGGCTGAGGCAGGAGAATGGCGTGAACCTGGGAGGCAGAGCTTGCAGTGAACCGAAATCGCACCACTGCACTCCAGCCTGGGTGACAGAGCGAGACTCTGTCAAAAAAAAAAAAAAAAAAAAAAAAAAAAACAACTTCATGAAAAAGTTGCAGATTTCAGGCATAACTGAATATTCCAATCTTCATTGATTACAGAACTTTCATGAAATTTTACTATCATAAATACCTATAGTTTTTACAATTTCTGACTGATTTGACTCCATAAAAAGAAAATGTAATAGCTTTATATTTTCTAAAATGTATGTTTTCATTTTCTAACTTTAGTTCGACAATTATTTTTATCTTGGAATAGAATGAAAAGAGTCAAGTATTCTGGGGTAAAACTTGAGGAATATTGTAAAGGATTTCCCACTGGACAGTTCTGACACTACAAATAGATTTTCTCTAACATGTCAACTCTGTTAAATTGGTAGTGGCTGGCTTGTATACCCTATGGGGGTTGTTTTAAAACTGCATTAAGTTAAATGTGCTTGATTGGTGAGGTCTGCCTCTGGCGTGCTAGAAGATAAAGCTGATGCCACAAATATGCATTTATAAATTCTAACCAAGGTATAGTTTCAAATAGAGTTTTATGGTCAATCTACATTCAAATTCAATTCACATTGCTAGAAATTGGATATTAAATCTGATTATTCCTTGGAAAATGCTATGTTTAGGGGAGGGGGAGATCAGTGAGTATGTTCTGTTTTTCTGGTATCTTCATAGGAATCATTTTTTTCTCTATTAAAATACAATTTAGGTTGGGTGTGTTGGCTCACAACTGTAATCACAGCACTTAGGGAGGCTGAGGCAGGAGGATCCCTTGAGCTCAGGGGTTCAAGACCAGGCTGGGCAACATAGGGAGACCTTGTCTCTACTAAAATCCAAAACATTAGCCAGGTGGGGTGGCAAATGCCTGTAGTCCTAGCTACTTGCAGGGCGCTGAAGTGCAAGAATTTATTGAGCCTGGGAAATAGAGACTGCAGTGAGCTCTGATGGCATCACTGTATGACAGTGCAGACTGGGCCACAGACGGATACCCTGACTCAAATATATATATATATAAACATATATAAAGTTTTTATTAAAATATGTGTGGCCGAGCACAGTGGCTCACCCCTGTAATCCCAGCACTTTGGGAGGCCAAGGCGGGCAGTTCACGAGGTCAGGTGTTCGAGACCAGCCTGACCAGCATGCTGAAACCCCATCTCTACTAAAAATACAAAAATTAGCCAGGTGTGGTGGCGGGCGCCTGTAATCCCAGCTACTCGGGAGGCTGAGGCAGGAGAATCCCTTGCAACCAGAAGGCAGAGGTTGTGGTGAGCTGAGATCATGCCACTGCAATCCAGCCTGGGCAACAAGAGCTAAACTCTGTCTATCTAAATAAATAAAAGTGTATATATTTATAAATATAATATATATGTATTTAATTCCATGTTGTTTAAATGAGAATAATTTGGGAAAACTCATTCCCACCCCAAGTTATAACTATTCCGATTATCTGCCTTCCAGCCATATATCTTGCTCAGTCACAGACAGTTAACCTAAACCATAGTGATAAGAAGGCTTTTTTGGATATTGTTTCCAGAGCATTTTTTCTCATGTGATTACTAAGTTTGTGAAATCATGAATATGGAATTTCTACAACATATTTATGTCACTGACTCATAATTAAACTATCAGAGGAAAAAGAAAGGGAAGAAATGTGAAATCTAATGTGAAAAATATTTTGGAACAATAATTTAAAACCTAAAGTAAATGGAATCATTTCTTTGGAATCACTTGAACCCATAATTTTTTATTCTCAAACTATTTATTATCATCTTCAGTTTATTTGTATAAAACCATATGAAACTATCATGATCTCTGATCTTTGTATTGTGGACTATGAAACATATAATCCCATGAATTAAAAGACAGAATAAGGCCAGGTATGGTGGCTCATGCCTGTAAACCCAGCACTTTGGGAGGCCCAGCAGACAGATCACTTGAGACCAGCCTGGGCAACATAGCAAAACTCTACGAAAATTCAAAAATTAGCTGGGTGTGGTGGAACGTGCCCATAATCCCAGCTACTTGGGAGGCTGAAGTGGGAGGATGACTTGAGCCCAGGAGGCAGAGGTTGCAGTGAGCTGAGATCGCACCACTGCACTCCAGCCTGGGAGACAGAGCGAGACCCCATCTCAAAAATTTTTTAAAAAGGCAAAATTAACTTCAAGAATATAAAATTCAAGTGAAAGGTTCTTGAATTCTGTGAGCAATTTTCTAATTCCTGAAGACTGCTTGATGCTTTGTTTTAGGTATTTCCCAAGAAATGCATACTTCTTCAATTCCTATAAAGTTACTGTTAATACACTGAAATTTTACCCATATTATGCAAAATAGAGGCCTGATTCTCCCAGCACATTTTAGAAAAGATATGACTGATATCTAAAGTAAATGGATCATTCACAAATTTCTGAGAAGTATGTAAAATAGCACAGCTATTTTGGAAAAAAAAGTATGAGTTTCCTTCCAAACTATCTCTGTTTACCAAATGACCCAGCAATTGCACTATTGGGTATTTATCCTACAGAAATAAAAACTTAGGTTCACACAAAATCTATAAATATTCATAGCATCTTTATTTCATAGTAGTCAAAATCAATATAAAAAAGTCCTTCAATAGGTGAATGCTTAAACAAACTGGTAAATTCACAACAGTGAATATTATTCATCAGTAAATAAAGAACAAACTATTGATACATATACAACTTGGATAGACCTCAAGGGAAATGTACTTAGTGAAAAAAGCCAATCTCAAAGGTAATATACTGTGTGATTTCATTTGTAGAACATTTTTAAACTGACAAAATTATAGAGGTAAAGAAAAAATTA
Organism: Homo sapiens; assembly: GCF_000001405.40. Classification (NCBI taxonomy): domain Eukaryota; kingdom Metazoa; phylum Chordata; class Mammalia; order Primates; family Hominidae; genus Homo; species Homo sapiens. The sequence goes on from NC_000004.12 coordinate 135,366,550, forward strand.
CTAGCTGCCAGAGATTAGTACTAGCAGAGGTGAGGAAAAGTCTGTGGCTGTAAGTGGATAGCACAAGAGATTCCTACCAGACACAGAACTATTCTGTGTCTTGTCTGTGGTGATGTTCCTATAAATTGACACATAAAATTGCATAGGATTATACACACATGCAGGCACACCACATAATGTCATATAAAATTGAATAAAGATGGCAGATAGTAGTCAATTGCCTATTTGAAATATCGTACTGTAGTTCTGCAAGATGTTACCATTAAGAAAAACTGGGTGAAGGTACAAGAAATATCTCTCGGTTATTTCTTATAACTTCAGGTTAATCTAAAATTATCTCAATAAAAGTTTGAGTAATATGAATTTTAGAAAGCAAAAAAGAGCTCTTTAAAGGCTTATTTATGACATTAAAAAAGTCTTACTCTATAGCTGCCCACCTACTCATAAATTTTGTAGCTTATTGCAGTAACAGCAACTACAAGAACTGTAAAATATTGTTGTAAAATATATGAGTTATTTGCAACAGTCCATTAGCCAGGCTATTTGATTTTGTGGTAGATTAGATTATTGTCTCATATTTATTTATTTTTTTCCAGCACACCTCCATGTACTTTGGCCTTGACACTTTCCCCGGCAAATGTGTTGATTAAAGAAATGTGAAGAGAGGCTTGAAATGGAGCTGCATGGTTGGGCTTCCCTGTTCTGTTCTGTCTCTATAATGAGATGGGCATGCTCTAAGAAACCTATTGGTCTCCCAGAATGAGAAATACAAAAAATAGACCTGAACCCAACCTGTGGTAAAGAATTGATAGCTGCCTTAGATCAGTTGAACTCCAGCCAAACCCACATAAGAGTGAGAAATAAAAGCTTAATTTGCAATCCACTGCTTTTAGAATGGTTTGTTATACAATGCTATTGTGGCTATAGTTGACTAATACAGAAGAAATAATGATAATAGATTTCAAAGTACTCTTACTGAGATTATGATTCAGGTAGATCAAAATATAGTATAGAAGCCTATATCACAATTGACAATTACCCAAACATCTGCCTTCTCAGAGTTGAACCTGACATAATTTAAATTAAGTGCAGATCTTGATACACTTTATTTTTGTCTCATGCCCTGTAATGTTGCATTTTCTTCCATTTCCAACTTTATAGGGTTTTTAAAAATCTTGATAAATGGCTACATTTTGAAAGTAATTTTTAATTGAAAGGGGATGAGTGGTAAGTAGAATAACAACCTCTCCACTCAACAATTTGATCTTAATTTGTCCACTGACATACATGTCATGAAAACAATAGCTTTGTCACTTTTGTTTAGTGCAGTGTCACCAGTACCTAAGAATTTAATAAATATAAATATGCATTGAATCAGTATTCAGTCTCTAGTTTTTTGTTCCCCTATTAGTATGTTTACTGAGTTGTTTTGAGAATTTTACTCCAAGCTTCTCTATTACTGATTAAAACTATCTGCATTTTCTGGAAACTTTTTTAAAAATGTAATTGTTCTACCTTGTATAATCACCTATAATTTCTCTCAATTTTTACTTGAAAGAAAAGTATTTTTTTCTATGAACTGGAATGATTTTTCCTATCAAACAAAAAAACTTAACATTTCTCTATTTTGTATTGACTTCCAGAAGTAGTCCAATTTAATGGTCAGTAATTGTAACTCTGTAGTGCTACTGTGTATAAAAAGCTTAGCTCCATTACCTAATTTATTTTAACTAAATGCAGTAAAATATTTTTTCTCCTCAGTAAAAATAACTACTTGCAAATAAATAAAAATCTTTAATTATTAAACTTTCTGAAAAAGTTGTTTCTGAATGCACTGTTATTAGACTTCTAAGAACTACTTTTGATGACTTACACTGTGCTTCAGGAACTGTGCTAGTCTCTGAATGAGTGCATCAATGTCATGCAACTTATCTTCTTCGGGGCAAACTAGAATATAATATCTAATTTACAAATAAGTGATTATGTGATTTTTAAAAAGAGTAAAATGCTCTTGGGTGTTTTGAATGGGGAGGGCATTAGCATGGTCAGACTTGGATAGGATATGATAAGTCAAGACTGGATCCAGGAAAAATAACTCACGAAAGGAGTTACAGCCTTCTGAGCAGACGTAGCAGAATATAGGAAGCCTCAAAGATAAGAAAGAGCATTGGTTGCTCAAAGAATTGCAAAAGGAAACCTGGACACCTGCATACTAAGCCAAAGAGAATACTGTTTGAGGTAAGGTTAGAACAGTAAACAGAAATTGAATCATGTAAGCCCTGCTAAGGGTCTGTTTTAATTCCATGTACAATGCAAATCCATTGAAGGTGTTTAAGCAAAGGAATTATATCATCCTATTTATGGTTTCTTAAAATGACTGTCTGCCTTGGGGAAAAACGATTGTATTACAGTGTTCAGAGGCATTTGAATCAGAGCACTTCCATCTTAAATAGGGACTGGATAAAATAAGGCTGAGACCTACTGGGCTGCATTCCCAGACGTTAGACATTCTAAGTCACAGGATGAAATAGGAAGTTGGCACAAGATACAGGTCATAAAGACTTTGCTAATAAATCAGATTGCCTTAAAGAAACCAGCTAAAGCCCACTAAAACCAAGATGGCAATGAGAGTGACGTCTGATCATCCTCACTGCTACATTCCCACCTCACTAGGACAGTTTACAAATGCTATGGCAAAATCAGAAAGTTACCCCATATGGTCTAAAAAAAAGAGGCATAAATAATCCACCCCTTGTTTAGCAAATAATCAAGAAATAACCATAAAAATGGGCAATCAGCAGCCCTCAAGTCTGGTCAACCTATGGAGCAGTCATTCCTTTATTTCTTTACTTTCTTAATAAACATGCTTTCACTTTATGAACTCACCTCAAATTCTTTCTTGAGTGAGATTCATAAACCGTCTCAGGATCTGGATCGGGACCCCTCTCCGGTAACAACAGTAGGTAGGAAACTACCACCATCACCCAATTGAGAAGTGGTGATGATCTGAACAAGGCTGATGGAAGAAGAAAATTTTAGTTCATAAAATGTGACCTTGAATAAGCATAATATAAATAACACTAAACTCTTAATTTGCATATTTATATTAATCTATGAAGTTAAAGTTTTGAAAATAGATTATTTTAATTAATTTTAATATGTACTTAAAAATAAATTCCTGCAGATTTTCCCCCACAAATTATGATAATAATGCAAAACTCTAGTTCAATTAAGTTCAAAACGATTAACAGAAAATTTCAATTGGTAGACCTCAAGTTAATGCATAAGGCATTAAAGACACAATGATTGATATTGGATATTAATGGTATTCACTTGATAATGCTGGTATAATGAAGGCTTTGAATTTTATCTCTGGCAACTTTAAATAAAATTCCAATTCAAGAATTATTGGCAAAATATGCTGTAGACAGATACAGTAGCACCTACATTTAAAATGAAAATTTAAATTAAAAGTATTGATATTGTTTTTAAGCTTTCTCAAATTTATCTAAAATAAGGAATAAAGAATATAACTTAATACTGTTTTAGAAAACATTTATAATTCAGACTTAAGTGATATTTTTGCCTCCGGATTTAGAAATAGAGATACTGGTTGATAGTAAGTGGCTGGATTTAACTAAAATGTTTTAAACTATGGCTTCCATTTAGTGAACAAAACATTATGATAAATAGCCCTTACAGTTTAGTCTGATAGACTGATTTTATTAGTTATAAATTAGAAAGTAAGTGTGGAGATCATTAATTAACAAGCTCTAATAAAGGGACTCTTAAGCAAAATTTCTACATAATTTAAGTTTAAATTTCAGTTTTTTTCCTATAGGGTAAAAATGATTTAACTTGGTCTGAAACCTAAACCTCAGGGCTTTTTCTAGTAGAGTGGAATAGTTGAAGAATTTTACATTTATTATATCCTCAAGATGGAAAGAAATGTCTTAAAAAATACATTCCCACTGCGACCACATTTAAGCTCTGTCACCCTTAACAGTCAAATTTGTAATGTGAGAAATAAGTGAGCTATCATAACTAGCTAAATTTCCTTAGAACATATCTATTACCAATTTTAACAACTAGATGGATACAGACTTGCTGTTTTCAATATGATCTTGTCTAATTTGAAGTTTATGGTTATTTCTTAAGGGTACATATTCTTTTTTATGTAACAAATATACTTGCTCTTTGGAAAAAAAATATAATTTCTTGTGGGGCCTTTGAATATATATAGAAACACTCAAGATGGGTTCATAAATCAAAAATAAAATCCTGTGGCTCCCAAATTGATTGAATGAACACTCCATAGGCCATGGGGATCCCAGAGAAACCTGAAAAACTGAATTCCATGCCACAAGGGAAGCAAAGTCAGCCATACTTCCTTGTACTCCCCTGTTTTGGAGTTTAAGTACAGCTGACCAGCATTAATGTTAAAACAGAGATCATAAAGCTGACAAAACATACTCTGTGGCAATAAAATACCAAATTATAAAGAAGACCTAAGACCATGCAAGCCAGGGTTAAGTTACACAGTACAAACCATAAAATCTTTTTTTTTTTGACCTCTGAACTTTTTATTGGCCTCCTGCTCCCCAAAGGGTACCCTGCTTCTGCTGGCTTAATGTCTCAGAACTTTGGTGTCATTGGTCTCACACCCCACTTTGCTGTCCACTATCTGATGGGTGGTGGTCTTTGGATGGTTTGCATAGAGTTGCTGCTGTCCAGGGCATCACCAAAATTAAAGTCCTCACTGTCTTCCAGCAGGTGGCGGTAGGTGGCGATCTCAGCCTCCTCCAGCTTGACCTTGATGTTCAGCAGAACCTCGTACTCCCGGGCCTGGTGTTACCCCTCTGCTCCTGTCTGTGTCAGCTCCAACTCCAGGTGCAGCAGGATCCAGTTGAGAAGCTCCATCTGCAGAGCACAGGGGGCCTCCACCTCCCTCAGACTGGTCTCCAAGCTGGTCTTCAGATTTCTCATTGAGTCCAGGTTGATCTCCAAGGACTGGACTATAAGTCTCAGCTCTGTGAGCATCATCTCAACAGCTCCAACCTCAGCGGACTGCGTGGTGACCACTGTGGTGCTCTCTTCAATCTGCTGAGACCAGTACTTGTCCAGCTCTTCTCAGGTCTTCTGAGTCACCTCGTCGTATTGGGCCAGGATGCCTGCCATGATCTTGGCAAGGTCCTGAGACTTGGGGGCATCTACTTCCAGGGTCAACCCAGAGCCTGCAATCTGGGCTTGTAGGCCTTTTACTTCCCTTTCATGGTTCTTCAGAAAGAACAGCTCCTCTTTGAGAGCCTCGATCTCTGTCTCCAGGTACAGCCGAGAGACATTTCTGTCGTCAGTGACCCTGTGGAGCCCATGTGAGAGACAGGACTAGCTGGATTTCCTAAGCCGACTAAGAATCCCTAAGCCTAGCTGGGTGCGTGACTGCATCCACCTTTAAACACGGGGCTTGCAACTTAGCTCACACCCGACCAATCAGGTAGTAAAGAGAGCTCACTAAAATGATAATTAGGCAAAAACAGGAGGTAAAGAGATATCCAATCATCTATCGCCTGACAGCACAGTAGGAGGGACAATGATAGGGATATAAACCCAGGCATTCGAGCCGACAACAGCTACCCTCTTTTGGTTCCCACCCATTTTATGGGAGCTCTGTTTTCACTCTATTAAATCTTGCAACTGCACACTCTTCTGGTCCGTGTTTGTTACTGCTTGAGCTGAGCTTTTGCTCGCCATCCACCACTGCTGTTTGCCGCCGTCGCAGACCCGCCCCTGACTTCCATCCCTCTGGTTCCAGCAGGGTGTCCACTGTGCTACTGGTCCAGGGAGGCACCCATTGCCGCTCCCTGTCAGACTAAAGGCTTGCCATTGTTCCTGCATGTCTGAGTGCCCAGTTTCATCCTAATCGAGCCGAACATTAGTCACTAGTTTCCACGGTTCTCTTCCTTGACCCACGGCTTCTAATAGAGCTATAACACTCACCGCATGGCCCAAGATTCTATTCCTTGGAATCCGTGAGGCCAAGAACCCCAGGTCAGGGAACACGAGGCTTGCCACAATCTTCTAAGCAGCCCGCCGCCATCTTTGAAGCAGCCCCATCTTGGGAGCACTGGGAGCAAGGACCCCCGGTAACAGTAACATTCATAGCTATTGGGTTGCCCTGATGATGTGAAGTGTTAACTAGGATCTCGGTCATATTTCAAAGACTACTATTACTTCTAGAATCTTGTATTGCTTTAAGAACTTTGTTGCTTAGCAGTTCATTGAGCCAAGGAGTTTCTGCTAATTCAAGCTATGCTGCTTCACTCTCTTGTTTCAAATATTCTTCCAGGAAAACCAGCTAGAACGTCACCGAGAAAGTCAACTCTTGTGTGGGAAACTTACATCTGTAGAGTCTCTTAGTACAACCAGCCAGGTCTTCCCTTTCTGAACTTTCCCCTGCATCTGGAGAGATTAACTAAAAGCCTGACACATTTAAAGTCTGAAAAGAGATATTTCTCATCTATTCTGTCTGAAGGTCGCTACATATGAAGCTTCGTCTACATAACAAGAACCCTGGCCTCCACAACCCTCCCTATCTTAACTCAAGCATTTTTTTTTCTATTGATTTCAAGTATTTAGACAAAGCTTAACTCATTCAACCAATTGCCAGTCAGAAAAATCTGAATCTACCTATGACCTGTGAGCCTTCCACTTCAATATATCCCACCACCTTAGGCCAAACAAATGTACACTTTACATGCATTGATTTGTAATTTTACCTGCAATTCTTGTCTCCCTAAAATGCATATGACCAAACTGTAAGCTGACCACACTGGGCACACTTTCTCAGGACCTTCTGAGACTGTTCTCTTGGACATGGCCATTCATATTGGCTCAGAATAAACTTTAAAATATTCTACAAAATTTGATTTTTTCGTTAACAGGCCTTGATAATACATAATAATGTAATAATGTTTCACTTACAAATAATTAGAATTAAGGATTTTACTTCTTGTCTCAAAATGATAACAATAATATGAAATACTGATTATAAATTTTTGAGGTTTATCAAGCTTATATTGCTATATGAAATGAATTAAATAATTAGATAAAGAGGTAAGAAACATCTAGAGTAAATTTAAAAGGTGAAACCACCATTGCAAAATTATAACGAGACAGTGAGAGTTCTGACCCAACCAACTCCATATTGCTTTTTTTAAGAGTAAAAGTAGTATTTATTAAATACCTGTTGCTTGATTTGCAAATTTGAACTCCACTGTTTGTTTGATTTCCTAAGTCCCGCAATATAAATGGTTATCTAAAAAAAAAGAATCATTTTTCCTTTTTTCTTTTTTATAAATTAAACCAATTTTTATTAACTTGGTGCAATTGTTTACATTCATTTTATATATACATATGTTTATTTGCATAGTTTTAATCAATGGTTAATATGTCATTAATGTTTTCATTTATATATTTTATCACAAACTGATTCCTTTTTTTATAACTTTAAGAGTTTTTTTTGTTTGTTTGTTTTTTAAATAAGAAATGTAGCATTGTAAAAAAAAAAAAAAAAAGCCAAACAAACATACAGGTACAAGTTTTCTTTTCTTTTCTTTTTTTTTCTTTAATTTTACTTTAAGTTCTGGAATACAAGTGCAGAATATGCAGGTTTGTTACCTAGGTGCCATGGTGGTTTGCTGAACCTATCAACATGTCATCTAGGTTTTAAGCCCCACATACATTAGTTATTTATCCTAATGCTCTCCCTCACCTCACCCCCCCACCCCCCAACTGGCCTCAGTGCATTTTGTTTCCCTCTCTGTGTCCATGTGTTCTCATTGTTCAATTCCCACTTATGAGTGAGAACATGCGGTGACTGGTTTTCTGTTCCTGTGTTAGTTTGCTGAGGATAATGGCTTCCTGCTTTATCCACGTTCCTACAAAGGATATAATCTCATTCCTTTTTATGGCTGCATAATATTCCCTGGTGTAAATGTACCACATTTTCTTTATCCAGTCTATTATTTATGGGCATTTGAGTTTTTTCCATGTTATTGCTATTGTAAATAGTGCTGCAGTAAACATAGGTGTGCATGTGTTTTATAGTAGAATGATTTATATTCCTTTGAGTATATACCCAGTAATATGGATATATATAATGCTGGATAAAATTGTATTTCTGGTTCTAGATTCTTGAGGATTCAACACACTATCTTCCACAATGGTTGAATTAATTTACATTCCCACCAACAGTGTAAAAGCATTCCTATTTCTTCACAGCCTCTCCAGCAACTATTTTTCTTTATTTTGTTTTATTTTATTTTATTTTGCTTTAAGTTTTAGGGTACATGTGCACAATGTGTAGGTTTGTTACATATGTATACATGTGCCATGTTGGTGTGCTGCACCCATTAACTCGTCATTTACATTAGGTATATCTCCTAATGCTATCCCTCCCCCCTTCCCCCACCCCATAACAGGTCCCAGGGTGTGATGTTCCCCTTCCTGTGTCCACGTGTTCTCATTGTTCAATTCCCACCTATGAGTGAGAACATGTGGTGTTTTGTTTTTTTTGCCCTTGCGATAGTTTGCTGAGAATGATGGTTTCCAGCTTCATCCATGTCCCTACAAAGGACATGAACTCATCCTTTGTTATGGCTGCGTAGTATTCCATGGTGTATATGTGCCACATTTTCTTAATCCAGTCTATCATTGTTGGACATTTGGGTTGGTTCCAAGTCTTTGCTATTGTGAATAGTGCCACAATAAACATACGTGTGCATGTGTCTTTATAGCAGTGTGATTTATACTCCTTTGGGTATATACCCAGTAATGGGATGGCTGGGTCAAATGGTATTTCTAGTTCTAGATCCCTGAGGAATCGCCACACTGACTTCCACAATGGTTGAACTAGTTTACAGTCCCACCAACAGTGTAAGTGTTCCTATTTCTCCACATCCTCTCCAGCACCTGTTGTTTCCTGTCTTTTTAATAATTGCCATTCTTACTGATTTTTTCTTGATTTTTTAATAATCACCATTCTGACTGGCATGAGATGGTATCTCACTGTGGTTTTGATTTGCATTTCTCTAATGATTAATGATGTTGAGCTTTTTTTTTCATGTTTGTCAGCCACATAAATGTCTTCTTTTGGGAAGTGTCAGTTTATATCCTTTGCCTGCTTTTTGATAATGTTATTTCTTTTTTTCTCATAAATTTGTTTAAGTTCTTTGTAGATTCTGGATATTAGACCTTTGTCGGGGGGAGATTGTAAAAATTTTCTCCCATTCCGTAAGTTGCCTGTTCACTCTTATGATAGTTTTTTTTTTTCTTTTGCTGTGCAGAAGCTCTTTAGTTTAATTAGATCCCATTTGTCAATTTTGGTTTTTGTTGCAATTGCTTTCAGTGTTTTAGTCATGAAGTCTTTGCCCATGCCTATGTCCTGAATGATATTGCCTAGGTTTTCTTCTAAGTTTTATGGTTTTGTGTTTTACCCTTAAGTCTTTAACCCATCTTGAGTTAAATTTTGTATAAGGTGTAAAGAAGGGGCCCAGTGTCACGCATATGGCAGGCCAGTTTTCCCAACACCATTTTTTGAATAGGAAATCATTTTCTGATTGCTTGTTTTAGTCAGGTGTGTCGAAGATCAGATGGTTGTAGATGTGTGGTGTTATTTCTGAGGTCTCTGTTCTGTTTTGTTGGCCTGTATGTCTGTGTTGGTACCAGTACCATGTTGTTTTGAATACTGTACCCTTGTAGTATAGTTTGAAGTCAGGTAGCATGATGCCTCCAGTTTTGTTCTTTCTGCTTAAGATTGTCTTGGTTATAAGGGCTTTTTTTTTGGTTCCATTTGAAATTTAAAGTAGTTTCTCTCTAATTCTTGGAAGAATGTCCATGGTAGTTTAATGGGAATAGCATTGAATCTACAAATTACTTCTGGGCAGTAGGGCCAGTTTCACAATATTGATTCTTCCTATCCATAAGGATGGAACGTTTTACCATTTGTTTGTGTCCTCTTTTATTTCCTTGAGCAGTGTTTTGTAGTTCTCCTTTCAGAGGTCCTTCACATCTCTTTTAGCTGTATTGCTATGTATTTTATTCACTTTATAGCAATTCTGAATGGAAGTTCATTTATGATTTTGCTCTCTGCTTGTCTATTGTTGGTGTGTAGGAATGCTTGTGATTTTTGCACATTAATTTTGTATCCTGAGACTTTGCTGAAGTTATTTATCAGCTTAAGGAGTTTTAGGGCTGAGATGAGGGGGTTTTATAAATATTGAATTATGTCATCTGCAAACAGAGGCAAACTGCCTTCCTCTCTCTCTATTTGAATACCCTTTATTTCTTTCTCTTGCCTGATTTCGCTGGCAAGAACTTCAATACTATGTTGAATTGTAGTAGTGAGAGGTAGCATCCTTGTCTTGTGCCAGTTTTCAAAAGGAATGGTTCAGCTTTTGCCCATTCAGTATGATATTGGCTATGGGTTTGTCATAAATAGCTCTTATTATTTTGAGATATGTTCCATCAATACCTAGTTAATTGAGAGTTTTTAGCATTAAGGAATGTTGAATTTTATGGAAGGACTTTTCTGCATCTATTAAGGTGATCATGTGGTTTTTTTCATTGGTTTTGTTTATGTGGTGGATTACGTTTTTTGATTTGTGTATGTTGAACCATGCTTGCATCCCAGGGATGAAGCTGACTTAGTCATGGTGGGTAAGCTTTTTGATGTGCTGCTGGATTTGATCTGCCAGTATTTTATTGAGGATTTTTGCACTGATGTTCATCAGAGATATTGGCTCAGAGTTTTCTTTTTCTGTTGTATCTCTTCCAGGTTTTTGTATCAGGATGATGCTGGCCTCATAAAATGAGTTAGGGAGGAGTTCTTCCTTTTCAATTGTTTGGAATAGTTTCAGAAGAAAATGGTACCAGCTCCTCTTTGTACCTCTGGTAGAATTTGGCTGTGAATCCATCAGTCCTGGGCTTTTGTTGGTTGGTAGGCTATTAATTACTGCCTCAATTTCAGAAATTATTTGTCCATTTAGGGATCTGACCTCTTCCTAGTTTAGTCTTGGGAGAGTGTATGTGTCCAGGAATGTATTCATTTCTTCTAGAGTTTGTAGTTAATTTGCGTAGGGGTGTTTTTAGTATTCTTTTCTCTGAGGTCAGTGGTGATATCCCCTTTATCACTTTTTATTGTGTCTATTTGATTCTTCTCTCTTTTCTTCTTTATTAGTCTAGCTAGTGATCTATCTATTTGGTCAATTTTTTCTAAACACAGCTCCTGGATTCTTTGATTTTTTGAGGGGGTTTCCATGTCTCTATCTCATTCATTTCTGCTCTGATCTTAGTTATTCCTTTTCTTATGCTAGATTTTGAATTTCTTTGCTCTTGCTTCTCTAGTTCTTTTAATTGTGATATTAGGGTACCTATTTGAGATCTTTCTGATGCGGATATTTAGTGCTATAAATTTCCCTCTTAATACTGCTTTAGGTGTGTCCCAGAGATTCTGGCATGTTGTCTCTTTGTTCTCATTGGTTTCAAAGAACCTTTTATTTCTGCCTTAATTTCATTATTTACCCAGGAGTCATTCAGGAGCAGGTTATTCAATTTCCACTTAGTCGTGTGGTTTTCATTGAATTTATTAATCTTGAGTTTCAATTTAATTGCACTGTGGTTTGAAAGACTGTTATGATTTGGTTCTTTTGCATTTGCTGAGGAGTCTTTTACTTCCAATTATGTGGTCGATTTTAGAATAACTGCCATGTGGCACTGAGAAAAATTAATAATTTGTTGATTTAAGGTGGAGAGTTCTGTAGATGTCTGTTAGGTCTACTCGATCCAGAACTTAGTTCAAGTCCTGAATATTCTTGTTAATTTTCTGTCTCATCGATCTATCTAATATTGACAACAGGGTGTTAAAGTCTCCCACTATTATTGTGTGGGAGTCTAAGTCTCTTTGTAGGTCCCTAAGAAGTTGTTTTATGAATCTAGGTGCTCCTGTATTGGGTGCATATGTATTTAGGATAGTTAGCTCTTCTTGTTGAAGTGATCCCTTCACCATTATATAATGCCCTTCTTTGTCTTTTTTTCTTTGTTGCTTTGAAGTCTATTTTTTCAGAGACTAGGATTGCAACCCTTGCTTTCTTTTACTTTCCATTTGCTTGGTAAACTTTCTCCATCCCTTTATTTTGAGCTATGTCTGTCTTTGTACATGAGATGGGTCTCCTGAATACAGCACCCCCAGGGAGTCTTGATTCTTTATCTAATTTGCCAGTCCGTGTCTTTTAACTGGGGCATTTGGCCCATTTACATTTAAGATAAACATTGTTATGTGTGAATTTGATCCTGTCATCATGATGCTATCTGGTTATTTTGCACATGAGTTGATGCAATTTCTTCACAGTGTCATTGGTCCTTATATTTTGGTGTGTGTTTGCAGTAGCTGTTACTGGTTTTCCTTTTTATATCTAGTGCTTCCTTCAGGAGCTCTTGCAATGCAGACCTGTGAGTGATGAAATCCCTCAGCATTTGCTTGTCTGGAAAATATTTTATTTCTCCTTCTCTTATGAATCTTAGTTTGGGTAGATATGAAATTCTGGGTTAAAAGTTCTTTTCTGTAAGAATGTTGAATTCACCCCCACTCTATTCTGACTTGTTGGGTTTCTGCTGAGAACTCCACTGTTAGTCTGATGGGCTTCCCTTTGCAGGTGACCTGGCCTTTCTCTCTGGCTGCCCTTAACATTTATTTTCTTCATTTCGACCCTGGAGAATCTGATGATTAGGTTCCTTGGGGTTGATCTTCTTGTGGAGTATCTTAGTGGTCTCCTCTGTATTTCCTGAATTTGAATGTTGGCCTGTCTTGCTAGTTTGGAGAAGTTGTTCTGGATAATATCCTGAAGTGTGTTTTCCAACTTGGTTTCATTCTCCTTGTCCTTTAAGTACTCCAGTGAATCATAGGTTAGGCCTTTTTACATAGTCCCATGTATTTTGGAGGTTTTGTTCATTCATTTTCACTCTTTTTTCTCTACTCTTGTCTGCATGCCTTATTTCAGCAAGATGGTCTTTAAACTCTGATATCTTTTCTTCTGCTTGGTTGATTTCGCTATTGATACTTGTGTATGCTTTACATAGTTGTTGTGCTGTGTTTTTCAGCTCCATCAAGTCATTTATATTCCTCTCTAAAGTGGTTATTCTATTTAGAGGCTCCTGTAACCTTTTATCAAGATTCTTAGCTTCTTTGCATTGGGTTAGAACATGCTCCTTTAGATCAGTGGAGTTTGTTATTACCCAGCTTCTGAAGCCTACTTCTGTCAATTTGTCCATCTCATCTTCCATCCAGTTCTGTGTCCTTGTTTGAGAGGTGTTGCGATCATTGGGAGAAAAGGTACTCTGGTCCTTTAGGTTTTCAACATTTTTCATTGATTCTTTCTCACGTTCATTAGTTTGTCTAGTATTGATCTTTGAGTCTGCTGACCCTTGGATGGGGTTTTTGTGGGCAATTTTTTTGTTGATGCTGTTGTTGTTGCTTTCTGTTTGTTTTTCTAGCAATAGTCAGGTCACTCTTCTTTAGGGTTGCTGAAGTGTATTGGGGGTTCACTCAGGCCCTATTCATCTTGTTCACTCCTGTGCCTGGAGATGTCACTCAAGGAGGCTGGAGAACAGCAAAGATGGGTGCCTGCTCCTTTCTCTGGGATCTCTGACCTTGGGGAGCACCAACCTGAAGCCAGGAGGAACGCTCTAGTATAGAATGTCTGACAGACCCTGTTGGATGGTCTCACACAGTTGGGTGGCATGGTGAGCAGGACCCATATAACAAAGCACTTTATCCCTTGAAGGAGGAGGTGTGCTTTGCTAGAGGGAAACCCTTGTGTCTGGGCTGCCCAGATTCCTTAGAACTAGCAGGAGGAAAGTCTAAGTCTGCTGGTCCTTGGAGACTGCAGCCAACACTCTCCCTAGGGGCTCAGGTCCAGGGATATCAGAGTTCTGTCCCTAAGCCCCTAGCTGGAGTTGTTGGAGTTCCTGCAGGGAGGCCCGCCCAGTGATGTGGAATAGGTAAAGGTCAGGCCTGAAAAGGCACTTTGTTCACGGTCTGCTACAGTTGGTGTATTGGGCTGTAGGGAATACCTCTTGCAACCAAGCTGTCCAGACTCTCCAGCTCCACCAGGGAAAAGCATGGCTTAGAGCTATAGAGATGGCTGCCCTGTTCCCCTGCCCTGGGAACTTAGTGTGTTAGACGGCTATCAGTCCCAGTGCTGCTGCCCCTTCCCTGAGGAGCTCAAAGGCTTAGATAGCAGGCAGCCACAGTTGGCAGCTGTGGTGCTTGTCACCTCTCCCATCAGCAGCTCTGCAGGGTTAAGCAGATTCCAGCTTAATGATTGTTGAGAATCTGCCTGGCTCGATGGTTGGGACCCTAGGGCCTGGTGGCATGGGCTTACAAGTGGTATTTTCCTATCCATGGGTTGCACAGTTCCATGGAAAAAAGGATGTTTTCCCCACTCACTTACCACCTCCCTTGGCTGGGGGATGGGGGCTCCCTTGCCCCATGTAGCTCTCAGGTGAGCTATCATACCACACTGCTCTTTTTTCCTCTCCATGGGTCATGCCAGCCACCTAGTCAGTTCTGATGACAGAACCTGCATAGCTCAGTTGCCAGAGCAGGATTCACACACTGTTATGGTTACTTTCAATGGGAGTCTCAGATCGCCACTGCTTCTAGTCAGCCATCTTGGCCCCGCCCTCCCATCTTGCTTCTGTTAATAATCTCCAATGGTCCTTGTTCATTCCAAAGGTAGTTACACCCAACTAACTTTGGGAGGAACTTAGTTTATTGTTTAAAACAAAGACAGTAACAATCCTTTCCCGAAATAAACCCCCTTCTTACCCAGGGACTAAACTGCCTTTGTAGGACTAACAATTTAGCCACAACATTAGAAATTATGGTTTAGGAGTCATGCAGCTGGAGGCTACAAGATTCTGACCCTCCTCTCATTGCTCCTGGGGATAACATCACTATTATAAAACCTAAGATCATTGCTTGAGATATTTTGCAGACCCTGCACTTGATGGATCAGCTGGCACCACCATATCAATAAACTGGCTCATGTTGATAGTGGCAGGAGGCAGGCTAACACCTAGAAAAATAGGGGCGGGTCCCAAGTAAAACTCCACCTTTGAGCCAATTAACAGCCTGGACTACTGGTTCCAGATAAAATACATGACCCAGAGTGAGAACTTCTCTTCCTGTTTGCCTGCCCTTTCCCAACTGTTGTTTCTGAATAATGCTTTTTAACCAATTGAATGTTACCTTTTCCTGTACTACCTGCAGCCCACCACCTCCCATCCTATGCCTATAAGAACCCCCAGGCTCAGCCACACTGAGAGAAATGACCCCACCTTCCCATCTCCTCTCTGCTGAAAGCTGTTTCATTGGTCAATAAAATTATCCATCCTCATCCCTTTAATTGTCAGCATAACCTCCTGACAAGAGCTCAGAACAACCAAACACAGGTACCTAGAAAGACTGTAACACTGGCCCTCTGCCTTCACCAGAAGAAGGCAACCACCCCATGTCATAGGAGCAGCAGTGAAGCTGAGCCAGTCCCAGAGCCATGGGTCAGAATGGGATATGGGGTTGACTGAGCTGCTAACACGCCACCATCTGTTGAGCTGCAGATGACAGAACTAAAAGAAGTAATTAGCACACTGTAATTCCCTATTTTGGGCTTTGGGGTTGCAGACACCCCTGCCTGTTGGGCACTTCCATGTTGCCCTCAGGGTGATACTCCTGATCTTGCTGTGGGCCCTGCATGGAGCCTACTCATGCAGCACTCTGAGTGTCAGCACTCGGAGTGACTGGCTGGATCCTGCACTCACTCGCTCACATGCTCCCTCCCGCCAGGGGCTGAGTATACAATCACAGTGGCTGCAGGCTGGAGCACAAGCCAGAGGTTGCCTGGGTAGACAGGAGCTCCCTGCTGTGAGCCTAGCAAAAATTTTCATCATTCTGATCTTGTGACCCCCCACCCAGGAATGACTCAGTGCAAGAGGAAAGCTTTAACTCCCTATAATTTCATCTCCAACAGAACCAATCATCACTCCTGACTCACTGGGCACCTCCATCCACCAAATTATCTTTAAAAACTCGGATCCACAAATGCTTGTGAGGCTAATTTGAGTAATGATAAAACTCTGTTCTCCTACACAGCCAGCTCTGTGTGAATAACTCTTTCTCTACTGCAATTCTGCTGTCTTGATAAATCATCTCTCTCCAGGCAATGAGTAAGGTGAACCCGTTAGGCAGTTACAAAGGCTTCTTGGGAGGTATTCATGTCACTTACACAAACGCGAAGTGAACTTCAAATGTAAACTCTCTTGGAAACAGAAAATGACATATTATGTAAAATTGATAAAAATTGATAAGTTAAAAGGTGTTTAAGTCTACATCTCTAACTTTTTGGCTTGTTTTTTTGCCAGTTCAGGTAGCCTCTGATGTACCTTTGTTGATTCCTGTACTTCTTGGTAATTTAAGAGGAGATGCTTTATATAAAGCAAAATCATCTTTTTTCTCCAAATGCATTATTTCTTATGTGAGTTTATTGTCTGGATGACACATATTCATAACATGCAGTATGTGAAATATTAACTACTCCAAAAATGTATTTATATTTTTTCTCACTCTATACAAATATCTTTTCTTTAGAACTCCGTGAACTGTATTGTATTATTTTCTAATATCTTTAACTTATTTTACATCGCTCATCATTTCATCTCTAAAATTGAATCAAAAGCAATGAATTCTTTAAAATATTTGCTGCATTTAATTATACCTGAAATATGAGTGGATTTCAAAAGGCACCTCCAAAGTTAGGTGCAATTAAATTGAGCAATTTATTCACATAAAAAATGAATAGAAACAGACACTTTGTATCTTTATGTGCATACTATCTAACATTACTCACTTTATCTTATTTATGACTACACTTAGGCAAAGATCAGTGCCCATTTTTATGTAGATCAATGCTCCCTTGATTTTTAAACATCAACCTTAAAGAGAAAATGTTGAGTCATAATGATATTTATTGTCACCTTAGTGGTTTTACATACAAAATTCATTTCAGAGTAGTTATGCACACAAATTTTGTTATTATTTTATTAACATGTACATTTCTTAGAGTGTAATTTTTAACTCTGAATAATCAATAACAGATTAACACTGGCCTAAATGGTATGTATTTCTTACCATTGCAGTTGAAATCATCATTTTATTATATGTTACCTCTAGATTGATCTCTTTTGTTCTGTGGACATTCACAGTTATTTGAGTGCATAAATGAATAACTGAATATGTGTTCTGGTTTTCTCAATGACTGATTCATGAAGTAACTTGGAAACCCCTGGGATATTACATTGAACTAATGAATTTTTCATTAGAGGTCCTTTTTTAACTTTTTATCTCTTGAGTAAATACTTAAGTTTAAATCTAGCATTCACCAAGCAGCTTACTGTTCGTTCTTATGTTAATGAGAAGGCTAATTGCAAATTTCCCTAGGTAATCTCAATGTCAATTATTCATGAATCACTGACAACAGACATGACATTTTCAAATGACAGCTTTCAATCCTTTTGTTTACAAGTTTAAATATATGCAGGGTGATGTAAAAGACTTCAAACACTAAAGTTGCCAAAAAGTAAGTTTAGAAGGAAAGATAATAACATTTCTGCAATCAGAATACCTTATATGTTGGTTTTGAATTTATTTATGGTGAACATAGTTTGTAACATAAAGGACTTTAAGGAGAAAAAAGGAAACATTATTTCAAGTTTCTCTTTAATTATCTTATTGAATTGGTGATCTTGAATGAAAGATATTTCATCCTAAAAATATTCCATCTAATTGATATGTGATGTGATATGTGTGTGTGTGTGTGTGTGTGTGTGTGTGTGTGTGTGGCTTTTCTTCTGAGTAACAAATAAGATTATAAGATTAAATTGCAATACAAATTAATACAAGAACACTAAGTGAAATTTGCCTTTATGATACTTTCACGTCTTTTCTCTAAATAGTTGATTCTTCTATAGCTAGAGTTGTAAATGCTTCTATTTGTGGCATTTGTTTATACTCATGTTGATATATTTATATCATGATATATCATTTTGAAAGATAAATTTATCTGTAGCAATAACTGTTTACCATGAAAATTCCAAATACTTGCATTTCTCTGGGACAATTTTATGTTTGCCCCTCACTGTCTCTGAGGTTTCTTGGGTTTTTAGAATATTCTTAATAGTTTTGTGGTTTAGAATCTTCTAGAATTGAATTTAAAATTTGTATTCTACACTTTTGCACTTTTTTGGCTCAGGTTCTTTTTTCTTTCTTAGAACATAATTAGACCAGGAGGCAGAGTTTTTCTGGTCCCCATTTCAAACATTCATACCTTCCTAAAAATATGAGTCCATTGACTTGAACTTCCAACCCAGAATATTTTTAAAAACATTATATTTAAGCAGCTTTCCTATGGCATAGCGTGTGTGTGTGTGTGTGTGTATGTGTGTATGTGTGTGTGTGTTTATGTGTGTGTATATGCATGCATTTATGTAAAGGGTTCCTTCCAAATTTTTATGCCATACTGATTATAAATTCAAATAATATTAAAAAGTTATTTCAAGGATCTTTATAGCGACAACTAAGAAAAAACAGTGTGTGAAAAGGCAAAATTACAACAAATTTAATTTAAAGTTCTCAGTTGTCTTGATTTGAGATTTTAGAATGGGACAACACTTGATTCAATAAAATGGAACAAGTGTTCCTATCAGTTAAGCAAAGGAGGTTAGCTTTATAGACAGAAACAGGACAGAAGAATGCAGAAACAAAGAGTAAAAAGCAGATTAGTCATTTTGGAGTTACTCTCCTTATAAGACAGGGGCAAGAGAACAATAACTAACATCAAGTTACTGCAGGTTAAGGATTAAAACCAAGAGAACTTCATTATCATGCAGATTGACACTGGCCTGTTTATTAAATCAGGCTGTTATCTCTCTCTCTCCTGATTTCTCAAAAGGTTCAGTTTCAGTTTGAAGACATGAACTTCAGCATGAGTGACTCCATTTTGATTTTCAGTTTGGTCTGTTGGGACCTAGTGCAGGAGCTTAGTCCAAAGCAATGGCCTCCTATAGTTTCTATTTAATACTGGTTTGATACCATGATAAGAAAAAATATTTTTCAAGGTATAAAAATGTTTAACTGCATATTTTTTAATGAAACAAAAGGTGAAAGAATATTTTTGGTAAAGATTAAATAAAATATTAAAAGTCTACCCTGTACCAGGTGTGCTGCAACCAGCTTCTGCCGTGGGCAGTGGCATCTGGACGAGAGGAATGCTGTTGTGCCCCAAAACTCAGAGATACCAGCTCTCCCACTGTTCACAGCCCAGTGATCAGGGGCGTGTCATAGCTTCTTTGTTTCTGCTGTCAGTGGCCTAGTGAAAGGGGTGGTGTTACAGCTCTGGCTTGGGGAGCTCTGAGGTCTGGGCCCTCCGAAGTTTCACCACTCTTCACTCCCATAGTCCGGTCACTGCCTATAGCTCAGCAAGCTGACTAGGGACATGTTATAGCCCTTTTCGTTCCTGACATTCAGTAGGTTCTGGGTTCCTGTCTCACAACCAAGAAAAATGAGGTTACATAGACACTGGAGTGTGGGCAACGCAGGGAAAAATTTTGAGTGACAGAAGGAAAGCCCTCAGCAGAGAAGAGACTCAAGAGTGGGTGGCCATCTGGGTGACAGGGGACCTGAAAGCAGGTAGTTCAACATGTGGCTGAGTCCGGGGTTGTTATGGGTGCGGCTTAGGGGAGTGTGTGCTGAGTAGTTCATGGGCAGGCCTGGAAAAAGCACCATTTGACTGGCTATAAGGCGTCAATGAAGTTCTCACTCAGGTCAGTCATGAACTGCATCCAGAACTGGTAGCTGGGTTTTCAGGTTTCAGGATGTTTTGGGCTTGAAGGTCAGGTTTCACTGAGGATCTGCCTTGTTTGTCTAGGAATTTGTCTGTCTCCTGCCACTATCAAAATGTTAAATAGTAACTTATGTCCTCTAAACCCTGTATTTAGCCATATTTCCATTAAGTATTTGCTTAACTCCGTGTTTTCATGATTTTTAATTTTTGTTTTCTGCTATTTGTGGTCTTCTAGCTTTTCCCATTATAAATTATTAGTGAAACATTTTTTTCAGACCTCTATTATTATACTTTTAATGCCACTGCCATTTTATATATACAAAATTAATGTTTTAGATATTTTATATAATGATTTTTTTCATGGGAAGAAAGATGATGTTTTTAACTTACCATTCAAAAATAATAGCAAAAATACATAGCTAAATGCCTACCATATTCAAGATTAGAATCATTCTATATTTGAATACTTTATATACTTTGAAGGTTACATATCACTGTGTCTTTCTAATGAGATAATGAGACTTGGAGAGTGTAAAGAATTTTCTCAAAGTCCCATAGCTAATAACTGTATGAGCATGTGTTCAAATCATGACCACCCTAAAAACAATGACTATGTGCTTGCTTTCTCACGCTCATGCTGGGTAAACTGAATAAAGCTTTCTTATACAGGAACCCATACCTAAAATGCATGTCTGAGTCTCAATAACAGCATAGCAAATTAATCAAATCCACTATTTATTTAGCTGACTTAATTTACTCAATTCAGTATTTCAACATAATGCTTTTTACTCCAACTATACCAAACAACTTTCTAATTTCTAATTCATCCCCATGTTCCACACTTCTGAGCTTTTCTATAAAAACCTCATGAAGAAAGATCATTTGTCCTTTGTATATCTAATATAACTCATCCTAAACTTTCAGGCATGTCACCAAAAACGAACCCACCCTCCTACAATATGTATATAGATTTCCATTATCTACCTAAATCTTACTGCCTTGTGTCTTGGAGTTGACTATTTTTTTTTTTTTTTTTTTTTTTTTGGAATCTTTCTCTCTTAGAGAGAAAGGTCCTTATCTTGATTGACTTTGCAGCTAGACTGCATAGTATTTCATACACAGTGGCCTTCAGCAAGTTTGTGTTGAATGAATACATGGATTGTGCTGCTGTTCTTCATCACTCATTTCTATTTGTAGCCATGTTTACAAGTTATCACCATCTATGCCACTTTCCTTGTTACCCTGGGTATTTAACAATGCCTTATGTTTGCCAACCACGTGATAAATCACCTGGGTATACTAATGCTACAGCATTAATCTAGCATTATTCTGGTTCTCTCCCTCTTGTCTCAATGTTGCACTTTAACTCTGAGCTTTGGGGAATGTAACCTTTGGCATAGAACCACAGTTTTAATTACCTCACTCTTTACATTAATGGTCTTCCACGGAGTGTTCAATGACCACAGAGCTACAAGGTCATGCATTCTTCAGTTTGTATATTCTATTAGGATTTATGAAACACATTGGTCACCCAGACCAGAAATCAAGATGGCCACCATGGTTACTACAGCATCTCTGAAGGTAGAATATTAAAACAAAAGAGATTAAAGTGAAAAGTTAAAAGACACTTTTTTTATCCTATTCTCCTTATTTCTCCTTAGAAACTGAAGCGTATGCATATTTATACATATAAACACTCCCTTACCTGTATTGCATTTTGAATAAAGAAGTACTGCAAGTGAGTGATGTGTGTTTGTGTATGTGTGTGCATATTTGTGCATTTTGTCACGCCATAGTTGTTTCTTTTGTTTAAAGACAAAAAGAAATGTACATGTACTCTGAAGGAAAGTAATGGACTCATTCTGATTGCCACGTTTCTCTTATTTCTCTGAAATGTGATTTACCTTGTTTCAGTCTTCTCTGTTACAAACAAACAGGATATGAAGTGTTATTTATCAAACTGTTACCCTTATATTAAAAGTTCCTTAACACTTTATTTTAATAATGAATCTATGTGACATAGCATTATTAGTTTCATGAAATATAATTGAGTTGGGATCAGTGTATTTAAGTGGTTAAGTATATGGATAAGGGATCAGAGAGAACCTAACTCAAATGTCATCTCCAAAGCTCAGATGTGGTATGTCTTTGAGAAATATTCCTGAATTCTACTTGTTTTCTCATCTAAGTGAGAGTATTATAATAGAAATCTTCATACTAGGCAACCTCAGTGAAACATGAAAACAATCCAAGGGAAACTCAGCCAGAAATTGTTGTAAAGAAAACAAATTCCAAATGCTGACCCTGTATTGCATCCCTCTCCTCTCCCTGCATACCCCCCCAACTCTTTCCTAAAATTGATCTGGTGGAGAAAATGCCAGTGATTAAGGCCCCATGGGCTTTCCTTTCTCATCTCCTCTTTCACAATTTCCTTTCTTACACCTTAGAAGAGAAATTTATTTCCTTACCCACATGGAAACTTACCAGGTTACACTGCTTGGGTGAAAAAACTGCAGGTCATGAAAAGAGATAGCAGAAAATACTGATCACTCCTCTGATTGAAGCAACAAGTTTGTCCCTATGCATTTACATTAAGAAATGCATTTAAAATAGAATTTTACTTTTTATGTTTAATAATCATTTACCCAAATTTGTACTATATTTATACATTTGAATAATTAGATCCAAATAGTTATTATGAAGTTCAATGTTAGAAAGAAATGTATATGATTGAAAATTCAACAACATTAATTGTAATTTAGGTAGATATTTGTGTTTGATATTGTTTGGATGTTTTAACCTCCAAATCTCATGTTGAAATGTGACCCCAGTGTTGGAGGTGATGCCTGGTAGGAAGTGTTAGATCATGGGGACAGATCCCTCATGAATGGCTTAGCACCAGTCCTTGTTGATGAGTGCAGTTCTTGCTCTGTTAGTTCGTGTAACATCTGGTTGTTTAAAAGAGTGTGGCACCTTCCCCCAATTCTCTCTCTCTCCCACTCTCATTATGTGATAAGCCTGTTTCCCCTTTGCCTTCTGCCATGATTGGAAGCTTCTTGATGCCCTCACCAGGAGCAGATGCTGGGGCTATGGTTGTACAGCTTGCAAAATTGTGAGTCAATTTAATCTCTTTTCTGTATAAATTACCCAGCCTCAGGTATTACTTTATAGCAATGCAAGAATGAACTAATACAGTGTTGCAGAATAGTTGATATAGTGATTGATATGATTTTCAACCATAAATATAATTAGTACCAGATAATAAAATCTGTAAGAAAAAAGTGTTAATATGATTTAAAGAGAAAATTAAGGCATACGATTGTCAATTGTTAATAAAGAGCTTTTTATTTTTTAAATAATAATTGGTGTCAAATTACTATGGTATTTATATTTTATTGGATACATTTAAAACAATGATGTCAATATATATTTAATTTGTTCATAGATTTGCTGCTGTAGTTACATGATGTAGTGTGTATAAAGTGAATAGCACAGAACCTTAACACCTATTAAATACTCAAATATGTTAGTTATTATTTTTAAAATGTAAACTAACTATATATAGTTAATTTTAGAATAATGTGAAATGTAAAAAAGACATTTAAGTATCATCTAATAATATCACAAAATAAACAGTACTGTTTTCCCTTAGTCAAACATATTATAAAAAAACATGTAGACCAACCTTTTTCACACCAGGGATCCCAGTTGTCCCCAACCTTTTTGGAACCAGGGCTCAGTTTCATGGAAGACAGTTTTTCCATGGATGGTGAGGGGTGGGGATGGTTTTGAAATGAAACTCTTCCACCTCAGATCATCAGGCATTAGATTCTCATAAGGAGCACACAACCTAGATTCCTCAAATGCATAGTTCACAATAGGGTACACGCTCCTATGAGAATCTAATGCCACTTCTGATCTGACAGGAGGCAGAGATAAGGAAGTAATTCTCACTCACCCACTGCTCACTCCTGCTGTGTGGCCCAGTTCCTAATAGGCCACAGACAAGTACTGGTTCATGGCCCCAGGGATAGGGACCCTTGATGTAGACAACATATATTGAGAATAATATTTATCTTCAAAGTATAACATTAATCATTTATCTTTACAAACTTGTAATCATAAAGTTATGTGAGTATTGAATATGTATGTTTTGGTCTCCTCAACACTATTTACCTCACACATCTTAAATATTGCTTCCTTTTTCCTTAAAGAAATTGTTATCCTCAACTGTTTCCAGAAGTTTCAGGTGGAGTTGCCTATTACAGCCCCATGATCACCACTCTGTGTCCTTGCTTTAGGACTCAGAGTCTCCATAATATTTTTTAGTCTAGGGATATGCAAATGAACCAGACCAGATTAATTTATATCCTCCCTGGGAGTTTTTAAGTGGGGTTGATGTATCAGTTTTTCCTCATATTGCTATAAAGTACTACCGGAGACTGGGTAATTTATAAAGAAAAGAAGTTTAATTGGCTCATGGTTCTGCAGGCTATTCAGTAAGGATGGCTGAGGAGGCCTCAGGAAACTCAGAATCATGGTGGTATGCAAAGGGGAAGCCCACATTGTACCTGGCTGGAGCAAGAGGAAGAGAGTGAGGGGGGAGGTGCTACACACTTCTTTTTTTTTTTTTTTTTGTTAGAAATCTTTCTTTTT
Organism: Homo sapiens; assembly: GCF_000001405.40. NCBI lineage: Eukaryota > Metazoa > Chordata > Mammalia > Primates > Hominidae > Homo > Homo sapiens. The sequence goes on from NC_000004.12 coordinate 135,391,158, forward strand.
TTTATTATTATACTTTAAGTTTTAGGGTACATGTGCACATTGTGCAGGTTAGTTACATATGTATACATGTGCCATGCTGGTGCGCTGCACCCACTAACTCGTCATCTAGCCTTAGGTATATCTCCCAATGCTATCCCTCCCCCCTCCCCCCACCCCACCACAGTCCCCAGAGTGTGATATTCCCCTTCATGTGTCCATGTGATCTCATTGTTCAATTCCCACCTATGAGTGAGAATATGCGGTGTTTGGTTTTTTGTTCTTGCGATAGTTTACTGAGAATGATGATTTCCAATTTCATCCATGTCCCTACAAAGGACATGAACTCATCATTTTTTATGGCTGCATAGTATTCCATGATGTATATGTGCCACATTTTCTTAATCCAGTCTATCATTGTTGGACATTTGGGTTGGTTCCAAGTCTTTGCTATTGTGAATAATGCTGCAATAAACATACGCACACTTCTAAACAACTGTATCTCCTGAGAAATCATTCACTCTCATGAGAACAGCAAAGGGACGTTACATTGCTCCTTTAATTCCGTTGTCTTCCGACGGCTGTGTGTTAACAGCTCAGTTGGCCCCTTGCCTTGTGACATGGGGTGACTGCCTTCCATTGGTGAGGGCAAAGGGCTGGTGGGACTGCCTTTCTGGGTACCCACACTTATTGGATCCTGAGCTCTTGTCCTTGTTCAAGAAGAATGAGATCACATAGGGACTTGAAGAATTGTGAAGGCAGAGAATCATACTGAGCAGTGGAAATGGCTCTCAGTGGAGAGGGGAGCTGGAGAGTGAATGGGAAGGGCAGGTAGTCTTTCTTGAAGTGAGGTCATCTTCTCCTCAAAGTCCAGTTGTCTATTCCCCAAAGTCAAGCTAACTCTCTTCCCCAAAGTCCAACTGTCTGCCCACTCTACTAACTGAGTATGGGGAATTTAAAGGCACAGGATGGGGACAGGGCAGGCTGTAGGTATTTTTGGAAAAGGCAACATTCAACTGGTCAAAAGACATTATTCAGAAAGAACCAATCCAGAGAAAGCAGGCAACAGGAATAGAAGTTTTCACTTTGGGCCGTGGGTTTTAGGCTACTTTGGCTTGAAGGTGGAGTTTCACTGGGGACTCATCCCTGTCTGCCTAGGCATTCAGCTGCCTCCTGCTGTTTTTAATATTGATGTTAACATGTTCTTCAAACTTCTGTAAATGCCTGGATATTGTCTGAGAGAGCCTGACCAATAGAAGGACTGTTGCAGAGTATTTTGCAGAACCCAAGGAAAGACCCATAAGAAAAAAAAATGATTTGGTGTCAAATTTCAATTTGAAATTGAAGTTATCATCACTTAATTAATCACAATTAAGCAAAAAGAAATATTTGTCCAGTAGCAAAGGTTAAACCTAAAGAGTGACTGTTGACTGGAAGGATCGTGAATATTTAGAATGGCAGATTATTGTGGTTATTTCCAAGGAGATATTAAAGAAAAAAAAACTGAAAAATAAACATAGTTAGGAGTCTGTTTCTCATATAAAGGTATATCATATTCAGAGGACAAATAACAACTGAGTTCTAAAGTACCTACTAGAGTGAAGTGTTTACGATTCAAGGTAAAATATTTAAAATGTGGTAATCTATAGGACACTTTTTCTCATTTTACCACCATTGCAAATCCAGATGAATGAAATTCTTTTTTCTGAACAAAATCAATTTAAACAAAGGACAGGTCACTTACCTATATACATGAAAACTAATAAAACTGCCTATCAAGTAAAAAAAAATTTCAGCCATAATGCCTTTGCTGTGAAGAAACAGTTATACATGTGAAATAAAATGTACTAAATTTTCTTCATTAGGCAGACACAATGAATAATTTTTTTTCACTTTCTTTACTCTTCTAAAAGAGTTTACTTAACAACTGAGGGAAGTAATGGAAGTACATTCCCATCCTCATGGAATTTGCTGAAGAACGTTATTACAGATGCTACAAATTTTAGTGTAAAATTTTGGTTAATTATATGAGATAATGTTTCTAAACAAGAAAGACTTAACATGTATAATTATATTTAACCTGAAGCAAATGTTTAGACAATGTATTTATGCTGAGAGTAATATAAAACATTTAGGACCTGAATTATATCTTAAAATATTGGCTACTTTAAACAGTAGCCTTTCTTTATCTTATCTCTTATAATACTGTTCAAGTACTCTTTATATTTTATTTTGTTTGGCAATATTTCGTATCATTTTGCTTCAGAAATACAATATCCTGAATATAAAATCTAGAACAACAATGTTCCTGCGAGATACAGAAAACAAATCTTAATAAAAGAAACAATAGATAAGACATTCAACATTGCTAAGGAAATATTTACCTTTAGAACTTGATCTAATAACCCCCCATTATATGGAAGAATACATTATCGTGAATGTATGAGAATTACTTTAACATCATCCTATGTTACAATTCTTTTAATAGCCTGTTAGGGGTGGAGAATCTTGGAATTACACCTGTAAAGTTATCATGAATTTGTAGTCTTAGTTACTGTGTTAAAAGAAAAAATATATCTGTATGAGCTAGGCTTGCCATACAAAGTATTGGGCAATTTAAACAACAGATATTTATTTCTCACAGCTGTAGTGGCTAGAAGTTCAAGCTCAACATACTTGTAGGTTTGGTTTCTCCTGAGGCCTGGCTTCTTGGCTTGCACATAACCATCATCTTGCTGTGTCTTCTCATGGTCTTTCCCCTCTTCAAGGGCGTCCCCAGTGTCTCTCTTTGTGTCCTAATCTTGTCATGTAGGAACCCCAGTCTGACTGGACTATGACCCACTCTGATGGCCTTATTTAAGTTTGCCTCTTTAAGGACTTTTTCTCCAAATACAGTCGTGTTCTGAGGTACTGGGGTTAAGAGCTTCAACATATCAATTTCTGGAGATGCAATTTAACCCATAAAAACATCCTATGCTGTTTGTATTTAGGATACAAATTGTCTTAGTTGTTTTTTCTTAGATATATCTTCCAAACTGTGAAAACAGATACAAAATATGACAGAATATTTTCAAGCATCTTCAAAGATAATTTAAATTTCTTAGAATTTTATTTTTTAAAAATCTCACTTCTTGCTTAAGTATTTATTTTAATGAAAATAAGAGAAAAAAATATTAGAAAGAAGCTAATAAAGTGTCATGATAAGAGGAAAACAAAGGAACAACATTTTTTCCCCACCAGTATTATATTAGATTTTTGGCTGTACACCCTTATCAATATATTGTGTTATCAGTCTTGTTATCTTATGACATTCTAATGGGTATATAGTGTTATTGCATTATAATTTTAGTTTTTATTTCTCTAAAGACTTATGATGTATGTACTCATGAACTCATTAGCCATTCATTATTTTGTTCAATATTTTTTATCAGTTCCTCTTTTTGTAATTGAGTTGCAGAAGCTATTTATACGTTCTCCATAAACATCCTTAGTAAGAAATAGGTGTTACAAATATTTCTCCAAGTCTGTAAATTGTACATTTATTTTTGCAACATTTTATTTTGATGCACACAGGTTTTCATTTTTCCATCTGATGAAATCTAATTTAGAAATTATTTTCCTTTTATTTTTGTCTAAGAAATCATTGTCCACATTTAGGTTGCAAAAATATTCTTCCATATTTTATCAAGCAGATTTATAACATAAACTTTTATATTTAGATCAAATATTCATCTGATAATATTTTTTTTCAGTACGGTATGTGTTAAAGGTTGAGGTTTATTTTTATCCATGGAAATATCCATTTTTTAAACCACTATTTGTTGAAATATTTACTTAGATTTAGTGTTATTTTAAAATATATTCTTTACTATTTCCAGGTTCCCTTATATTAAGGTTTTTTTCTGATTAAATTGTCATCGATTTAGTGTAGATGAAGTTTTCTCAGACTGTACTATATAACTTAATATGCCCTCATTTTGCCTTTATAGAGGAATTCTATCCTGGAAAACTATAGAAGTCTTGTAACGCTAGCCTTTATTCTCGATAGTATACCTATGCTAGTTCACTGCTTTTTAAATGTTAATGTGGACTGGAAATGACTGGGAACTTCTTTTTTTAGTTAGCGTTCTCAAAATAAAATAAAATCTATGGACATAGCAAAACTGAAGATGGTAGCTAATTATGGTATTTGCTATGGTAAGGAGGCATCCCAGAAAATTCATGTGTTGGAAACTTAAACCACAATTTTGGGAGGTACAGCCTTTGGGAAAGCGTTTAGGTCATGCCTTCATAAGCGGACTAATGTTGTTATAAAAGGGTTCGGTGAAGGAAGATTTGCCCTTTTAAATCTCTTTTATCCCTTCCACCATGTGAGAACATACAAACAGCATCCTTTCCTTCTGGAGGGTGCAGCAACAAGTCACCATCTTGGAAACACAGATTGGTCTCCCCTCAGATACTGAACTGCCACTACCTTGATCTTAGATTCCCAGCCTCCAGAAGTGTGCAAAATAAATTTCTGTTTTTTATAAATTACCAAGTTTTTGGTATTTTGTTATAGCAGCACAAATGGACTAAAATAGTACCTAATTCAATCATTGAAGTGCTTGGATTTCTAGAGTGATAATTTTGAGTCAACAGAAGGAAAAATGAGTTAATAGTGCAAAAACAATGATGTTTGCATAAATTAACGAATATTTATTCAAAGAGTGTGGTAAATAGTATTCCTCATCTTTATGAGGTTTTTAATAACTCTCACAAGGAGTTTTAATATAAAAGCCTAGCCTCAGGAAGAGCCCTTATCTTATAATTTTAAGTTCAATGTTTCACAGTTTATGTTAGAAATTGACAAAATAGATATAATACAGAGGATAAATTCCCTGGAAATTATGCAGTGTTAAAGAAAAAGTTAATGGAAGTACTGATGCATTAATAAGACAAGAAACTTCAATGTTTGTTACCTTAAAAAGGAGTATTTTTATATCATGTCACTCTAGAATGGAATGTAATATGGTTTGACCCCATCCAAATCTCAGCTTGAATTGTATCTCTCAGAATTCCTATGAGTTGTGTGAAGGACCCAGGGGAAGGTGATTGAATCATGGTGGCCAGTCTTTCCCGTGCTATTCTTGTGATAGTGAATACATCTCATGAGATCTGATAGATTTATTAGGGTTTTCTGCCTTTGCTTCTTTCTCATTTTCTCTTGCTGCCACCATGTATGAAGTGCTTTTTGCCTCCTGCCATGATTCTGAGGCCTCCCAAGCCATGTGGAACTCTAAGTCCAATTTTACCTCTTTTTCTTCCCAGTGTCCTTCCCAGTATGTCCTTATCAGCAGTGTGAAATTGGACTAATACAGAATATGCCCTAAAATCATACATATTTGACTCAGAAAAGTTTAGTTTCATATTATCTCTTAAACTCAGTATTGCTTCAAATTGATTAATGTTAATTTTTAATCTATTTTCAGTGGATGGCATATATAAAATATACACGATTTTTCTCTAAGTAATTGTAGAAGATATTGTTTCTTTGAACTGAGAGAGGCTGAAGTAGATAATTTTTTTTTTCAAATTCAACTTTTCTTTAGTCCTAGAGATTTTAGTATCTCAATTGTGGCCACATTAAGAGGCTGAGGAGGATTCCAGTTGTACATCCTTTTTTCAAACAATGGGGTCTTCTTTTATCATTGTTATAGATTGGACTGCCACAGCCATTTTCAATGAAGAAAGTGGTTAAAATAGAATTTAAATCCCTCTAAAATAGATTGTTTTAGTGCTTTTTTAACTCCACTAGCTCATGATCTTTGACTATATGGTTCAGTTGGTTTGTGGAAACCAATCCTAACTCTATTTTTATCAGATGTAAAATAACCAGAGGTAGAAATATCCTGCTGCAGCTTTCAAAATAGATTAAACAAGCAAATATGTCTGCAATAAAATAACATGCAATTTACATTTACAACCAAGTAATAAAAGCAAATTTGCATGAAATTAAAGAAAATGTACATTTAAAAGTTTGCTTCTGAGAATCAGTTGAGTTTGTCATAAATTAAATTATGTGCAATGTTATGTATATTATCTATATATTATGTCTTTTAGTTTCCTCCAAACTCTTGGATCATCTTTATTTTGTGGGATTTGTGGCATTGCAAGATGTAGACCCAAGACACAGCCTAATGATCACATTTACAATTTGTGTATTTCAGTTAAATCATTCAACCTAGATCCTTTATTTCATTAACTGTAGGAAAGAAGGAATAAATAGTTTTCTTGCTTATTTTTGATTATTTTAGTATTATGAGGATTTCTTTAGAGAATAGTACTGAGGATGTGTAAACACAACACAGACCGTGGACTCTCATTAATGTTACATCAAAACTACATTAAATAAAATGATGTTATCTGAAGACCTGCTGTATTTAATCATGTAACCAATAATTGCTACTTTCCCCACAAATGAGTTATATTCTTGCTGATATGATTACTTTTATTTTAAATCTGGACTATTGGCTCATATTATAAATTCCAGGATACATTTTTTTAAAGATACAGCTTGAGTTCACTGTTTAACAATAATGACAACAAGAAATATTTCTTGATTACTTGCCAATGGTTAAAATAAAGCAATTAAGATTTCTTTGGTATTGTTACATTAATTAAACTCTTATTTCCTTTTCTCAAAAATTTCATTATTGGAATTGGGGAATGATAAAGTATTCTTTTATTCAACAAAACATTTTTGTAGCACTGATTGAGTAAAATAGAACTTTAACCTAACATCATTTGAAATGATACATATAATGCTAATAAAGCCATTCTTTTAAAAATCATTTATTGAGTCTAGTTTGTAAAAGGTGTTAGACAAAGAATCTCAATTTAAGATGGATTAAATTAAATTCCTATAAACAAATAGATCAGAGATAGAGAAAGAAGTAGAGATGGAAAATCATGTTACACAGGTGTTCGTGGATAAAATATCTATAGCAGTACTAAGTAAAATACTCTACATTTTCCTCCATGATTCTTGTTGAAAATAGTAGGAACAAGTAAGTTAGGAAATTATGTGAGGAGTCACAGATATTTAATTCTGAAGCTAAATTTTTTGGTCAAAGCAGGGATTTGAGAGAGAGTCAAGAATTGTGTGCCTAGGGATTTGCAAGAGAGTCAAGAATTGTGTGCATATATACGTATGTGTTTAGGTGTCTGGGTGACATGATCCTTCTTAGAAAAATAGGAAATTAGATTTTAGATGAGAAAGTAGACTGGTACATAATTACTGATAGTGTGAATTATCTAGAAGCTTAATTATTGTGAAAGGGGTCCATAATAGTTTCATAAATTAGTCACACTTAACCGTAGTAATGATAATTAATGCAGAGCCAGAGAGGCAATGGCTCAGGACACATTATAAATTTAATGCCTAGGCCAGGTGCAACTAGGCACGGTGGTTCACACCTGTAATCCCAGCACTTTGGGAGGCCTAGGAGAATGGATCACCTGAGGTGAGGAGTTTGAGACCAGCCTGACCAACATAGAGAAACCCTTGTCTCTACTAAAAATACAAAATTGGCCAGGCATGGTGGTACATGCCTGTAATCCCAGCTACTTGGGAGGCTGAGGGAGGAGAATCCCTTGATCCCAGGAGGTGGAGGTTGCGGTGAGCCGAGATTGCACCATTGCACTCCAGCCTGGGCAACAAGAGTGAAATTCCATCTAAAATAAATAAATAAATAATTCCCAGATATCCTTGATTTCAGGGTTTGGCATAAATATTTGGTATAGGGTGGAGTTTAGCCTCCCGATGAACTTGAGTCCATTACTCTGAAGATTGTTCTGATGCAGAAATAAAGATTTAAGCAGATTTACATTTAAAATTTGTGACTAAATAGGTATTTGCATTGAATAAATATATATTCTTTGATCTTATTCAGCAAATTGGGAAAGTGCTCTTAGAAAGAGAAAAGTTTAAAGATTAATATAAATTTATAAAAATGACATCTAAAAAGACTTCTCTTTTTAAGAGCAGGCCTCATACATGCCAAGAAAGAATTAAGTTATGGTTCATAACATATCTGCTTCATGATTATAATTTTTAGAGTGCCAAAAGGCTATTAGAAACAGTTAAGGATAAACAATTGTCTGGAATATAGTCTATGCCAGATATTGAGCTAAGCACTTTATGTATTATCCCTAATTCATTTACAGAGCAACTCAGAGATGTGTACATTTAATATCCACAGTGTTGCAGACATGAAAATTGAATTAGAGAAGGTTATTAACTCACCAGTACTACAGCTTTTGACAGCAATAAGACTCTCTTCTTGAGGTTCCAATCTTCAGATATAAATGCCGAGTCAAATTGCAAAGGTGATATTGATACCATAATAGGTAGTTTATGGAAAGACGTTAAACACGGCCAAAATTTCTTTCGCAGATCTTACACTATGAGGCGGGATCTATTTCTTTGCCCATTGATTCTGGCATATCATAACTTGCTTTGGCCAATAATGATGCGCAAGTGATGGCTGAATTTTAGTCGAGGTTTCAAAAACATTTGCCACTTTGCCTTATGCCCACTTGCAACACCGCTGTATGTCCGCTTTGTTGTGAAGCCCAGGAAAAAAAGATCTCATAGGAAGAGAAAGCCAGTCACCCAAGTTAGTCCAACTAAGGTTTACCCCCAACCTAACCACCAGCTGCATGCAGCCAAATGAAGACCTCCAGGTGAAAGCAGCAGAGGAACTACCCCACCAACTTTAGAATCATGAGAAATAATACATCATTATAGAGTCCAAAGTTTGTGGCGGTTTTTAAACAGCTATTGATAACTGAAACGACCACATTTAAAAGAGAGGTTTTAATAAAATAGCAATGAAAGCTATATGTGTTTTTAAAAGAAACAGGCTTACATTTTGTAATTTCTCTTTGTTTTCCATATAGATGCATTTTTTTAATTTTTGAGAAGTAACTACTTTTCAAAGGTGATTGAGGGAGTTTATGAAGCACGAGGTATTTTATTTCATCTTTAATTCCATAGCAACCCAGTGTATGAGATTATTAAATCTTAAAATCAGCAATTTGTCATTTTCCTTCTAGAAGATTAAGTATGTGGGAGTTTGAAAATGATAGGCTAAAATATATGTATATGTGTACACATGTATTTATACGCCATTTGAAGAAACAAATGGAAACTTTTTGCAACAAACTATTATCAAGATTCGAGGGAAAATGTAGAAAAATGTTCTACATGTAAAAAATTTTAAGTGTTTGAGTCCTATAGTCTTCTAATCTTTTTAAAATTATACCTGATAAACTAGTTCTAATAAAAATCTTTAAAGAATCTCTATTTGAGATTATGCCAAATTCTGAATATTTTTAGCTAGTTATATAAAAATAGTAATTTACTCATGATGTTTGAAAAGCAAAAAAAAAAAAACAAAGAAATGTTATTTATATGAATGTGATAAAGACAGTATCAGAAAATTATGTCATAATTTATTGCATAATTACAGGCTGCATTATGTTTTATTCACTATTTACTTCTATGGCATGAGTTAAAAAATGTTAAATAATTAAAATCTTTAAAATGAGTTAAAATGCATTTCATAGCCAAAAGTAATTATTTAGAGTACTTATAAAAATATTGTGTTTATTAACAGAATAAAATATCACCTGTGTGTCTTTTTGGATGTCAAATGTGATTAGCATACATTGTAAAATGATTACTTGCCAGATCTCCTAAAATGAAACTGTTTCAAAAGTGTTGAAATTTGTATTTCTTCAGTGAATTGATTAAAATATAGAACAATGCTTGAATTACTCAGATTATTAAAATGATGTCTATTATTGTGTTTTGAAATTAGCATATAAGAAGAATTTATTTGTAATGACAAACATTTAAAATATATTTACTTAATTAAGTCATACTAATGAGCTAATATCTAATGTACTTGCTGTAATCTTACTAAGCAATAAATCTGTTATGTAATCTCTTTTAAAGATAAGCTATTTTAATATGGTAAATTATTTGCTTTCTATTTATATTACTGCAAATTTATATGTGTGTGTATATGTATATATATATTTAAGTTACCTATATTAGAAAAAATATACAAATTATCTTTTTCTTTATATATGTGCATATATAAATTGCCTTTTTGAGGGTTAGGAGATGATACATTTAAAATGTACATACTAAAAGTACGTGATGATACAGGGTTATTGGAGTAAGTTGTATGAAGTTAACCAGTTGTACATAAAATTCAAACTATTGTGTTAGCCATTTTTCAAGTTAAGTTGTTGGTGTATTATCTGACATTTTTGTATTAGTTTATTTATTTTAGTAGTACACCTACAAATATAAAAGTTTGACTGCTTTTATTATTTTGACTAAGCCAGAGCAGCAACTTTTTATAGAGCATGAAACCAGTTATTCTAAATATTAGAACTCTCAGTAATTTAAGCACAAATCTATTTTAAATACTTAAGTGAAATACATTTGAAGTAGTACTGACCTACTGACCTAGTTTTTAGTGCAAGGTAACTGAACTGAACTATGGAATATGCCAATTGTTCAATTCTTAACATGAAATGGGAGAAGGATCCTAAATAGAAGTAAAAGAAGCAATTATAGATCAGAAAAGGAGTGGAGGGACTAAAGATTGCAATACGAAGAAGGTGGGTTTAATGTTAAATCTATTAATATTTGTAAAGCCCTTCAAATATTCCTGGTACATATGAAGCAACATATCTATCTATCTATCTATATGTATGTATCAACATATCTATGTTAAATAAATACTAGAAAAATGAATAGAATTATAGTAAAATAAAATAATTAAGAAAGCTATTCTTGCTGTTAGGTGTAGTGTAGATTAAACAGAAAATGTAAGCATAGGGACAATTGTATAATCAGTTCATGAGGTAATAGGGACATATTCAATCAAATACCTCTTATTATAAAAATTTAACTTAAAGATTAGGTACAATTGTTTAGAACCCACTAATCTAACACAGTGATTTTATTTTAAATGTATTGAGGCAATTCTATATAAATGTTGGTTTGATTAAAGAATAAATTTTGATAATGTTAAATATAATTCACATGTTTGCAGTGGTGTTAATAGCTGTAGAATTCAGAAGACAGGGGACAACCTGCTTATCGAAGGTAAGCCAAATTATAATTCAACAACTAGAAAAACTCATGCAAACTATTATAATTGTACTGATACTTGGAAACTTTGTTTTATGATTTTGAATCATATAGCAGGAAGCACAGATGGAGGAATGATAACATGAAAATTTCCACTTGAAATAGATTAAATTCAATAATCATACTGGATTTCTAATGTATATAAGCACACTCTTTATAACCGGTAGAGGCATCCTGCTTGCCTCTTAGTGATAAATGCTCTGATTTTGTGTGTCATTGCATCTCATTTCATATCTTGGCAGGATGTAATAATTTCATAATAAATGAAAACATATTTAAGCACATAGTTGGATGCAAACAGCAATTGGTAATCTTCCATATTTATTTCATTTCATTCCATTTATAGTTGCACTTGTAATTAAGAAGAGAGTAAACTAATGATGCTTGGGCCCATATACCAGCATAACCTCAAAAATACTGGAAAAATCTAATCAAATGAAAATTTTGTTCAAATGTTAGTGTTTCAAGCAAAACATTATTTTTTATATTTAAAATACTTTTAGTTGGTAAATTAGAGCAAAATCTATTTAAAATATTAAGTCAAAAGTGAATTTAACCAAAACATAAATCTGAAGCAAATGTTATTATGAATAATTTTCAGCCTAGCTACTCTTTGAAATATGCTTCTAGGTGCATATAACAAATGCGGTAATACAGAGGATAGAAAACCATTCAACATTTCTCTAAGATACAAACTTATTATGGAAATAGAATGTCATAAAACAAGCCGCTTAAGTCAGTATAAATTATGAATCCTAAATATTGACCTAAATTGCAGTTCTTATGTTTTGTTAGAGGCTATGTTCTGTCTTCCTGAAATGTATTGCTTCTACTGCTTTTGTACATAGAAGCAATTTGAATAAAAACACATTGTGCTTAATTGAGCAGCTAATTATATGAAAATGGCTGTCAGTCAAGCAGTAGTAATTGGCTATTTTCAAAATAAACAATGGTTTAGTGAATTTGACTTTTTTCTCACTACAGTCTCTGTGTACACAATTCTATAATTGCTATTTTTGATATATGTTCAAAATGGAATCCCTATATCCTATGAATGTGAAAATAAGGGCTCCATTTGCTTTTTACTGAATTATAGTCAATGAATAGTAAAATGCTTTCCAAATAAAATATTTTAGCTCAAAATAGATATTTTTAAAGATATATCCATTTTGTGCCAAATACTTGATATTGTCAATCTTTATTTTCTAAGATTTTGCTCCTGTAAATAGAGGTTCTGTCTCTACACCTGGCATTAAATCGCTCATATGTGATTCTAAAATGCAAGGACTATGAACTCTCTGCAAAATAGCACAAGGCTCTTCATGACCTACTCTTGTCTATTCTTCAGCATCATGTTTTATCAGTCTTCCATATGTACCAAAGATAGTGATTTAAAGTTTAAGCGGAATGCTTATATATTAATAATAAATAGAATACCAATTTTACTTCCTCAAATGCATAATATTATCTTTTGCCTTAATATTTTGGATATGCATGTCCTCTGTCTAAAATGCCTCCCTCTGATACAGCTATTAAAACATGCTTCCTAAATTTTATGACAGTGGTGAACTCCCACAGCAATAGAGGCCATAGTGTAGCTGTGATGGTTAATACTGAGTGTCAACTTGATTTGATTGAAGGATACAAAGTATTGATCCTGGGTGTGTCTGTGAGGGTGTTGCCAAAAGAGATGAACATTTCAGTCAGTGGGCTTGGAAAGGCAGACCCACCCTTAATATGGGTGGGCACAATCTAATTAGCTCCCAGCATGGCTAGAATATAAGCAGACAGAAAAATGCAAAAAGGGAGACTGGCCTAGCCTCCCAGCCTACATCTTTCTCCTGTGCTGAATGCCTCCTGCCCTCGAACATCAGACTCCATGTTCTTCAGTTTTGGAACTCAGACTGGTTCTCCTTGCACTTCAGCCTGCAGATGGCCTATTGTGGCACCTTGTGATCATGTGAGTTACTACTTTAAAAAAACTCCCCTTTATATAGATATACCATTAGTTCTGTCCCTCTAGAGAACCCTGACTAATACGGATTTTGGTGCCATGAGTGGTTGTAGAGGAACAGAATATTAAGGATGAAGATTTTTCATTGGTTTGGGCATTTCTGGAGTTGGTTGCTTAATAGGATTAGAACCCAAAATGGTGAGAACTCTACTTCGAATAGTATGGAGAAGATTGATAGTCCTTGGCGTAAACTGTTTAGAGATTTATGCAAAATAAATGCATTTGACACTTCTGATTCATCGCTCATGAGAGGCAAGGGGTTTAGTGACTCTATATATAATACCTTTGACCATATGTGGAGAATGAAGGAACATAATAAAGCTGGCTGGTTACTCCTAAGTTCAGTGGACAAAGTGATGAAAGAAAATGAGGAACTCAGAGATTCTATCCACTGGCTTTAGAAGCAGATACTAACCCTCAAATCTGCTAAGACTGCCCCGAGTGAGTCTTACCTCCTGTAAAGAAAGAGTTGAAATTGTGGAAAAGCAGACACAAGCTCTTATCATGCTAGTCACTGATCTGCAGTGAAAGGTGCATGCACAGCCTCGCCAGGTGTCTACTGTTAAAGTGAGGGCATTAATTGGAAAAGAATGGGACCTTGTAACTTGAAATGAGAACATGTGGGAGGACCCTGATGAAGCTTGGGATGCTGAGTTTGTAAACTCTGATGAAGCTTTTTTGCCAGAAGAAGCACCTTCCCCATTCCCAGTAGTGGCAACATCCCCTCCCTGACCCATGCTGCCATCAGTCTTTCCACCTTTGTCTGAGGAGATAAGCCCTGTGCTGCCTGAGGCAACAGTGATGGCCTCTCCTGAGGCAATTGCCAGGCAAGATGATGTTGAGTCTCCTCAGGAGCAACCCCCAAAACCCCTTTTGCTTCTAGACCTATAACCTGACTAAAGTCCCAGCAGGCCCCTAGAGATGAGGTTGAGAGTGTGGCCCATGAGAAGGTGCACTACACTAGAAAAGAACTGTTTGAGTTCTGTAATTTATATAAACAGAAATCTGGAGAATAGGAATGGGAATGAATATTAAGGGTGTGGGATAATGGTGAAAAGAACATAGAGTTGGATCAGGCTGAATTTATTGATTTGGGTCCATGAAGTAGAGACCCTGTTTTAATATTGCAACTTGGGGAGTTAAAAAATGTTCTAATAGTTTATTTGCCTGGTCTGCTGAATTACGGATTAAAAGATGGCCCACTGAGAAAGCTGGAAATGCCTGATCTTAAGAGTTGGGATGGTGGAGTGGATTGGTCACTTTAGACCTACTCATCCCAGCTGGGAGGATCCATAAGATATACCATTGACCTATACCTTACTAAATAATTTGTGAGGGCAGCACCTGCATCTCTGAAGAGCCCTGTAATTGCTCTTCTCTGCATGTCAGATCTAACAGGGGGAACCACAGTCACTCAACTATGAAATTTAAATACAACAGGAATAGTAGGATCCTGAGGTGGCAGGGACCAAATGGTGGCACTCAACCATCAAAGGCTGTAGGGGTTCAGTCAGGATGGTGGGGAAAATTATAAAATAAAACACAGTCCTTCTTGTAAGGCCCAAAGTTTTTGCATAGCTTCAGATAGTTTGGCTGAAGGCAGCCCAATTCTCTTTAAGCTATAGCAAGGGTAATTAACATAGGAATGTAGAGAAGTCTATCTAAATAGCTTCTTTACTCATGTGGTTCTAAAACCTTTGATCATTTGCAGGCAGTAAGGTACTATGGTGCTCTCCGGAGGGGAAGGAGATCAGGTTGATTACCCTCTAATGGTGTTTACTTGAGACTTTTGTCACCTAATGTGTGCTGAATAAATGCCAGGAGGGCCAGCGAGTTGGGGCTGGGGCCAAGGCTGACAGCACTCTCCTTAAAGTCTGTAAGTTGCCAGGACCCTTGGCCTGACTGACAAGCAGAATATCTTTGTCCATATACGTTATTCATCTGTTGTTTGAGTCAGAGTCTTCCCTCAGCCCCTCTATCTCTTGGCCAAAATAGCAAAGAGGAAACAGAGGATTTGCCTAAGCCCCCTCCTCCAAAAGATAAGAAAAAGGACAGGAGATACAGTAGAGCTATTGAGAGGTGACAGCGTGCTGGCAGTCCTCAGAGCCCTCGCTTGCTCTCGGCACCTCCCCTGCCTGGGCTCCCACTTTGGCGGCATTTGAGGAGCCCTTCAGCTCCCCCCCGCACTGTAGGAGCCCCTTTCTGGGCTGGCCAAGGCTGGAGCCCACTCCCTCAGCTTTGCAGGGAGGTGTGGAGGGAGACGCGCAAGCAGGAACCCAGGCTGCGCGTGGCACTTGCGGGCCAGCTGGAGTTCCGGGTGGGCGTGGGCTTGGTGGGCCCCGCACTCGGAGCAGCCAGCCAGCCCTGCTGGCCTCGGGCAATGAGGGACTTAGCACCCGGGTCAGTGGCTACGGAGGGTGTACTGGGTCCCCCAGCAGTGCCGGCCCACCGGCGCTGTGCTCAATTTCTTGCCGGGCCTCAGCTGCCTTCCCGCTTGGTAGGGCTCGGGACATGCAGCCCACCATGCCTGAGCCTCCCATCCACTCCATGGGCTCCTGTGTGGCCCGAGCCTCCCCGACGAGCACCACCCCCTGCTCCACAGGGCCCAGTCCCATCGATCACCCAAGGGCTGAGGAATGGGAGTGCACGACGCAGGACTGGCAGGCAGTTCCACCTGCAGCCCCGGTGCGGGATCTACTGGGTGAAGCCAGCTGGGCTCCTGAGTCTGGTGGGGAAGTGGAGAGTCTTTATGTCTAGCTCAGGGATTGTAAACACACCAATCAGCACCCTGTGTTTAGCTCAAGGTTTGTGAGTGCACCAATCGACACTCTGTATCTAGCTGCTCTGGTGGGGCCTTGGAGAACCTTTATGTCTAGCTCAGGGATTGTAAATACACCAATCAGCACCCTGTGTTTAGCTCAAGGTTTGTGAGTGCACCAATCGACACTCTGTATCTAGCTGCTCTGGTGGGGCCTTGGAGAACCTTTATGTCTAGCTCAGGGATTGTAAATACACCAATCAGCACCCTGTGTTTAGCTCAAGGTTTGTGAGTGCACCAATCGACACTCTGTATCTAGCTGCTCTGATGGGGCCTTGGAGAACCTGTGTGTCCAAACTCTGTATCTAACTAATCTGATGGGGACGTGGAGAAGCTTTGTATCTAGCTCAGGGATTGTAAACGCACCAATCAACGCCCTGTCAAAACAGGCCACTTGGCTCTACCAATCAGCAGGATGTGGGTGGGGCCAGATAAGAGAATAAAAGCAGGCTGCCCAGCCAGCATTGGCAACCTGCTCGGGTCCCCTTCCACACTGTGGAAGCTTTGTTTTTTCGCTCTTTGCAGTAAATCTTGCTACTGCTCACTCTTTGGGTCCACGCTGCTTTTATGAGCTCTAACACTCACCACGAAGGTCTGCAGCTTCACTCCTGAGCCAGCAAGACCACGAACCCACCACAAAGAAGAAACTCCGAACACATCTGAACATCAGAAGGGACAGACTCCAGACGCGCCATCTTAAGAGCGGTAACACTCACCGCGAGGGTCCGCGGCTTCATTCTTGAAGTCAGTGAGACCAAGAACCCACCAATTCCAGACATACTATGAAATCCTGTCTTAGGCAAGCAGCATTAGAAGGGGAGCTCTTAGCCTTAGAAGGGTAATTCAAGAGCAGCAAGGCAATCAGGTATACAAACTCATTTCTCTTAATGCTTATAAAAAGGTAAGAAAAAGTATTAGAGGCCGGAGCCGCACCAGTGAGCAGTAGGCAAAAGGGAAAGCTTGGCAGCAAGTAGCTTGCAAACCCAGAGCCAGCAAATGCTCCCAAGATTTCAGCCTGCAAGTCAGCGGTGGTGATGGGAACCCAAGCCCAGCGTGCTGGAGCTGGCCTGCTAGGGAGGGGCAGGAGGCATGTGCAAGAAAGTCTGCCTGGCCAGCAGCAGCTGCCTGATGGCGGCAGGAGGGAGTGGCACACACAGAAAAAGCGGCACAGAAAGAAGCAGTGCAGACAAGAAGTGGCAGCGCCTAAGCAAGGGCAAAGCCGCCGCCGCCACGGGACCCACCTGCTCAGCTCTCCAGCTCCACAGGCGGCCCACAGCAAAATTTCGTGTGTTCCTTGCATACAAGCAACACCTCAGATTATAATTCTCTGCTAAGATTTAAGTAAAATTTAAGAATTTGAAAGACCTTTTTCTAATAATAGCCACTGTTATCTCTCTCTTACCCCTAAAAACAGTAACCTCTAAAGGGAGAGAGATTACAAAAAGTCCATGAGTTAGTTAAGGAGCAGTTAAAAGCCGGTAAAAATGGAAAGGTGGCAGTCTGGTGGAGACCACATAATTCAATCACTCGATATGTGTTTACTAGCACTCAGAGAGCTGAGATTAGGGCTATGATACTGGCCTTGGAAAGTTTTTCCACTCAGCCCATCAATATACTCAGCGATCCTGCTTACTCTGTTTATTTATTGCAGAACCTTGAAACAGCCTTAAGTCCACTCTCCAGCACCACCCTGTGTGCTCTTTTTCTTCGACTTCAGCAATTGCTAGATAAATGTACACATCCTATTTTTATCACACACATTCAAGCCCACAGCTGTCTGCCTGGTCCATTGGCTAATGGCAATGAACAAGCAGACCTACAAGTTATGATATCACTGCTTGACCAAGCCACCCAATCACATCAATTTTTCCACCAAAATTGGAGAAACTTAACAATTTCAACTTACCCAGAGGCTGGCTAAACAAATTATCCTACAATGCCCAGATTGCCAGCTCACTGGTATGTCCCCTTCATCCACAGATGTTAACCCTAGAGGATTAGAACCTAATCAGTTATGGCAAACAGATGTTAAACACATCTCTGAATTTGGAAAACTTCAAATTGTAGGGGTTCACTCAGGATGGTGGGGAAAATTATAAAATAAAACACAGTCCTTCTTGGAAGGCCCAAAGTTTTTTGCGTAGCTTCATATAGTTTGGCTGAAGGCAGCCCAATTCTCTTTAAGCTATAGCAAGGGTAATTAACATAGGAATGTAGAGAAGTCTATCTAAATAGCTTGTTTACTCATGTGGTTCTAAAACCTTTGATCATTTGCAGGCAGTATGGTAATATGGTGCTCTCCGGAGGGGAAGATATGTACATGTATCCGTTGATACCAACACTCATCTAATTAGTGCACACGCCCTTCCTGGAGAGTCCACTTGATATGTCATTAAACATCTTCTTTTAACTTTTGCATTTATGGGGTGGCCCACAAAAATTAAAACTGATAATGGTCCAGCTTATGCCAGGTCACAATTTCAACAATTTCGTCACATGCGGAACATCCAACATTCCGCAGGCATCCCATATAACCCCCAAGGACGAGCCATAGGAGAACATGCCCACTCCACCCTTAAAAATATGCTCAAAAAACAGAAAAGGGGGAGTATGGACAACACTATTGGCACAAGCCTTATTTACCCTTTTCTAAATTTAGATGATGAATTTCAATCAGCTGTAGAAAAGCACTTTGCTAAAATCTCTCGATGCATAAAACCTGCAGTTTTATGGAAAGATGTAAACAGTAAGGAATGATGTGGTCCAAATGAATTGTTAACATGGGGAAGAGGGTATGCTTGTGTCCACACCCCCTCGGGTCCTCTTTGGATTCCAGCACGACGTATTAAACCATACCATGGCATGGCTAGGACCCAACTCAGTACTGGAGATGAAGGAATTGACCCTACAGGACCTGCAGCCCTGGACGATGCGGTTTCTGCAGATGACACAAGCCCCAGACTTTACTAGGAGATGCTGAAGAGGACAACTCAAGAGGCGGAACGAATCCTGCTCTGGACACAAACACCATTCACCCCAGATAATTTGCTTCTTGCTATGCTTTCTGTTGTACATTGCAATTCACGTAGGGTATTGATCCTTTTTATGCTCTTGCTTTCTCTGCAACTTGTACCTGCTACACTCTACTGGGCTCATATCTTAGACCCACCTTTCTTTTACCCTGTCACCTGGGCAGACACTCCCTTCCCAGCCTATAATAATGTAACTGCTTGGCTAGGAGGGATAGATTTACCCCCAGTGTGGTCCCTCAATAATGACACACATTGGACTAAGGTGCCAGATAACACTACATATCACTACACTATCCTCCTACTGTGTGTAAGTTATAAAGGTTCTAACCCTTACTCTGTATCTGTCCAAACATAATTATGGCTACATCATGGCAAAGGAAATGCCTTAACAGCCTTAGATGCAGGTAGCCTCAAACCAGGTAATGCAATCAATGCCACTTTCCCAAACATTCCTTTCTGTGGTAAAGGACAAAGCCCGGAAAGTAATGGATTTCACTTTAGCTGGGAGGTTTGTCACGGGGGACAAGCCCGTAGCTTCCAGTTAGGCAATTATAACATCTTAGACTGGGGCCCCCATGGCCATTTGCAGGGTAGCCTTACTAATGTCCTCATCCATCATGGCATCAATCACAGTTTTGTAGCCACACCCCATTCCCCTATGATTTTGGCCAATGGGGGGATAGGATATCCCAGACCTCAAGTAAAGTCCATGCCATCCCAAGACACTTTAGGGTGCCTGGGACATCTTGGCACCTCCTTTGACACCTTGCATGGGATGTATCATAGTTCCAGTAACAACTATACTATAACCTTTATTCATAGTCACATTGATCAGTGCCTGATTTGCACTATCCATCCATATGTTTTCCTTATGGGAACAGATATTTCTATATAACCCCAAAACATTGCATTTGTGACCTGGGTGCAGGGACAGGCTTGGTTTTCCTCATGTATCGCTAATTAACAACATATCTAATCTAAATATTACTAGTGTCATGGCATAAAGGAGACAACCTGAGGCATTCCTACCAGTCAATTTGACATGTGATTGGCAAGGTTCTTCTGCCCTTGCCACCTTAGAACATGCCCTGTCCCAGGTCAGATACAAAAGATTCATATTTACACTTATGGCCTTAAAGTCTCAGCTATAGTCATCCTAGCAACTGCTAGAGTTGCTGTGGCATCTATTACTGAGTCAGTATAAACAGCTGCCTTTGTAGATAGATAATCTGGCCAAAAATGCGTCTAATGAACTTCTCTTACAGCAGAGTATAGATAAAAAAATTCTTGCATGTCTGCAAGCCCTCAAGGCTGCTTTGGAATATGTGGAGGAGCGACAAGATGCACTGGCAGTCCTACAGCAATTAAACTGTGACTGGGAGCATAAACATATCTGTGTCACTTCTCTACCATGGAATCAATCTATACATAGTTGGGATGAGATGAAACAATACCTCTGGGAAACCTTTCATGATAATTTAACAGCAGACATAAAGCAACTTAAAACTAAAATTTTAGAATCTCTTCACACTATAGATTTACACACCCAACAAATAGCCATATGGAAGGGTGTGCAAGATCATCTTTCCCGGTTAGACCTCTGCTCCTGGGGATCACTCTTTGACTGGAAAAGAATGTTGCCAATTTTACTCATGATTGTCTTAAGTTACTTACTGATTCTAGGATGCAAAGCTGGAGTAAGAGCAATGACCACCACATCTGACAAACCTGTTGCTGCATACGTCTGCACTCTCCAATCAATCGCTCTCCAATCAATAAGACCTGATGCAGAAAACAGAAAAGGGGGAGATCTAGGGGTTAAATCAGGATGGTGGGGAAAATTATAAAATAAAACACAAACCTTCTTGGAAGTCCAAAAGGTTTTTTGCATAGCTTCAGATAGTTTGGCTGAAGGCAGCCTAATTCTCTTTAAGCTATAGCAAGGGTAATTAACAGGAATGTAGAGAAGTCTATCTAAATAGCTTGTTTACTCATGTGGTTCTAAAACTAACCTTTGATCATTTGCAGGCAGGATGGCACTCTGGTGGTGGGGAGGGGAAGGAGATCAGGTTGATTACCCTCTAATGGTGTTTACTTGAGACTTTTGTCATCTAATGTTTGCTGAATAAATGCTAGGAGGGCCAGTAAGTTGGGGCTGCGGCTGACAGCATTCTCCTTTGAGTCTGTAAGTTGCCCGGAAACTCAACCGGACTGACAAGCAGAATGTCTGTGTTGGTGTACGTTATTCATCTGTCATTGAGTCAGTATCTGCAGAACAGACCCCAGCAAAAGCAAGGTGGGAGGAGCTACCATAATGGACAGCAGAGGCAAAGCAGCAATCAGAATAGTCTGACTTGTGTAGAGCTCTGGCATTGGCTAATTAATCAAAGTGTTCCTAGAAGTGAAATTGATAGTAAGCTTACTGTATTCCTACTTAACTTATATAAGCAGAAAGCTTCTAGGTCAGATGAACAAAAGACTAATTTGAATTATAAAAACAGAGAATCATGGCCTCTCAATCAATTTCCAGACAGGAGCCAGTGTACAGACCCCAAACCCCTTGAATGAAGGGGAGGCTGGGTCCCCTTTAGGAAGGATCCCACTACACTACTGACAATTTATGCAGTGAATCTTTCTCCCCTCCTTCCCCAAGAAGATCTCTGGCCTTTTAACAGGGTGACTGTGCATTGGGGAAAGGGAAATGATCAGACATTTTGGGGACTACTGGACACTGCCTCTGAGCTGATGTTGATTGCAGGGGATCTAAAATGTCATTGTGGTTCTCCAGTTAAAGTAGGGGCTTACAGAAGTCAGGTAATTAATGGAGTTTTAGCTCAAGTCTGACTTACAGTTAGTCCAGTGGGTCCCAGACTCATCCTGTGGTCATTTCCCCAGAGTCAGAATACATAATTGGCATAGACATACTTAGCAGTTGGCAGAACCCCCACATTGGCTCCCTGACTGATAGAATGAGGACTAATATGGTGGGGAAAGCCAAATAGAAGTAATCAGAGCTGCCCCTACCTAGAAAAATAGTAAATCAAAAACAATATCGCATCTGTGGAAGATTTGCAGAGATTAGTGCCGCCATCAAGGACTTGAAAGACACAGAGTTGGTGATTCCCGCCACATCCCCATGTAACTCTCCCATTTGATCTGTGCAGAAAACAGATGGATCTTGGAGAATGACAGTGGATTACTGTAATCTTATCCAAGTTATGGCTGCAATTGCAGCTGCTGTACCAGATGTGGTTTCATTGTTTGAGCAAATTAACATATCTCCTGGTATCTGGTATGCAGCCACTGACTTGGCAAATGCCGTTTTCTCTATTCCAGTCCATAAGGCCCACCACAAGCAATTTGCCTTCAGCTGGCAAGGCCAGCAATGTACCTTTGTACCTTTACTGTCCTTCCTCAGGGGTATATCAACTCTCCAGCTTTGTGTCATAATCATATTTGGAGAGACCTTGATCACCTTTTGCTTCTGCAAGATATCACACTGGTCCCTTACAATGATGACTTCATGCTGATTAGATCCAGTGAGAAAGAAGTAGCAAACACAATAGACTTATTGGTGAGACATTTACATGCCAGAGAATGGGAAATAAATACCATTAAAATTTAGGGAACTTCTACCTCAGTAAAATTTCTAGGGGTACAGTAGTGTAGGGCTTGTTGAGATATTCTTTCTAAGGTGAAGGGTAAGTTGCTGCATTTGGCACCTCCTACAACCAAGAAAGAGGCACAATGCCTAGTGGGCCTATTTGAATTTTGGGGGCAACACATTCCTCATTTGGGCTTGTTACTCTGATGCATTTATTGAGTAACCCAAAAGGCCGCCAGTTTTGACTGTGGTAGTGAACATGAGAAGATTCTACAATAGGTCCAGGCTGCTATGCAAGCTGCTCTGCCACTTGGGCCACAGACCCAGCAGATCCAATGGTGCTTGAAGTGTCAGTGGCAAATAGAGATGCTGTTTGGAGCCTTTGGCAGACATCTATAGGTGAATCACAGCAGAGGCCTCTAGGATTTTGGAGCAAGGCCCTGCCATCTTCTGCATATAACTATTCTTCTTTTGAGAGACAGCTCTTGGCCTGTTACTGGGCTTTGATGGAGACTGAACGTTTGACTATAGGTCATCAAATCACACCGTGACCTGAACTGCCTGTCATGAACTGGGTTCTTCCTGACCCATCTAGCCATAAAATGGGGTGTGCACAGCCCCATACCATCATCAAATGGAAGTGTTATGGTATATACGTGATTGGGCTAGAGCAAGTCCTGAAGCCACAAGTAAGTTACATGAGGAAGTGGCTCAAATTCCCATGGTTTCCACTCCTGCCACCCTGCCTTCTCTTCCCCGGCCTGCACTGATGACCTCATGAAGAGTTTCCTATGATCAACTGACAGAGGAAGAGAAGACTAGGGCTTTGTTCACAGATGGTTCTGCATGATATGTAGGCACCACTCAAGAGTGGATATCTGCAGCACTATAGCCAGTGTCTAGGACATCCTTGAAGGACAGCAGTGAAGGGCAATCTTCCCAGTGGGTAGAATTTTGAGCAGTGCACCTGGTTGTTCATTTTGCATGGAAAGAGAAATGGCCAGATGTGTGATTATATACTGATTCATGGGCTTTAGCCAATGGTTTGGCTGGATGATCAGGGACTTGGAAGAAGCATGATTGGAAAATTGGTGACAATGAAATTTGGGGAAGAGTTATGAGGATGGATCTATCTGAGTGGTCAAAAACTGTGAAGGTATTTGTTTCCCATGTGAGTGCTCACCAACAGGTGACCTTAGCAGAGGAGGATTTTAATAATCAAGTGGATAGGATGACCTGTTTTGTGGACACCACTCAGCCTCTTTCCCCAGCCACCACTGTCATTGCCCAATGGGCCCATGAAAAAATGTCCATGGTGGCAGGGATGAGTGTCATGTATGGGATCAGCATCATGGACTTCCACTCACCAAGTCTGACCTGCCAGCAGCAGAGACCAAATCTGAGCCCTCGATATGGCACCATTCCTCGGGGTGATCAGCCAGCTACCTGATTATATGTTGATTATATTGGACCTCTTCCATCATGGAAAGGGTACAGGTTTGTCTTCACTGGAATAGACATTTACTCCGGATATGGGTTTGGCTATACTGCATGCAATGCTTGTACCATGACTACCATCCGTGGACTCATAGACTGCCTTATCCACCATTATGGTCTTCCACACAGCATTGCCTCTAAACAAGACACTCACTTCACAGCTAAAGAAGTGTGGCAATGGCCTCGTGCTCATGGGATTCACTGGCTTTACCATTTTCCCCATCACTTGGAAGCAGTTGGATTGACAGAATGGTGGAATGGCCTTTTGAAGTCACAATTACAATGCCAACTATATGACAATACTTTGCAGGGCTGGGACAAAGTTTTCTAGAAGGCTTTGTATGCTCTGAATCAGCATCCAATATATGGTACTGTTTCTCCCACAGACAGGATTCATAGGTTCAGGAATCAAGGGGTGGAAATGGAAGTGACACCACTCACCATCACCCCTAGTGATCCACTAGCAAAATTTTTGTTTTCTATTCCCCTGACATTATGTTCTACTGGCCTAGAGGTCTTAGTTCCAGAGGGAGGAACACTGCCACCAGGAGACACAACACAACAATCCCATTAAACTGGAAGTTAAGATTGCCACCTGGACATTTTGGGCTTCTCCTACCTTTAAGTGAGCAGTCTAAGAAGGGAGTTACAGGGTTGGCTGGGGTGATTGATGTGGACTATCAAGATGAAATCAGTCTACTACTCCACAATGGAGGTAAGGAAGAGTATGCATGGAACACAGGAGATCCATTAGGACATCACTTAGTATTATCATGCCCTTTGATTAAGGTCGATGGGAAACTACAACAGCCCAATCCAGGCAGAACTACAAATGACCGAGACCCTTCAGGAATGAAGGTTTGGGTCGCTCCACCAGGAAAAAATCATGACCTGCTGAGGTGCTTGCTTAAGGCAAAGGGAATACAGAATGTGTAGTAGAAGAAGGTAGTCATCAATACCAGCTACAACTACGTGACCAGTTGCAGAAAGGAGGACTGTAGTTGTCATGAGTATTTCCTCCTGTTTTTGATAAAAACATGTTTATGCATGTATACACTTGTACTAGGAAAATATCTTCATTTTATTTCCTTTCTCCTTTGCCATGTGACATAAGATTTATTGACTTCACTTCAGCATTCAAGTATTCTTAACTTTATTTAGTAGCATTTGGGTTGGGGATTGGTGTGCCTCCAGTTGTATGAAGGATAGTTGTATTATGTTAGGTGTAATTATGACCATATTATTGTCTTTATTTGAAGATTATTATCTCAGGAAATGTGTATGGGTTCAAGTTGACAAGAGGTGGACTTGTGATGGTTAATATTGTTTACTTGATTGGATCGAAGGATATTAAGCATTGATCCTGGATGTATCTGTGAGTGTGTTGCCAAAGGAGATGAACATTTCAGTCAGTGGGCTTGGAAAGGCAGACCCACACTTAATATGGGTGGGTGCAATCTAATCAGCTGCTAGCATGGCTAGAATATAAGCAGGCAGAAAAATGTGAAAAGGGAGACTGGCCTAGCCTCCCAGCCTACATCTTTCTCCCATGCTGGATGCTTCCTGCCCTCAAACATCGGACTCCAAGTTCTTCGGTTTTCGAACTCAAACTGGATCTTCTTGCTCTTCAGCCTGCAGACAGCCTATTGTGGGACCTTGAGATTGTGTGAGTTAAAACTTAATAAACTTCCCTTTGTGTATATGTATGTATGCATATGCATATATATATATACATATATATATATATATATATACACACACGTATATATATATATATATATACACACACACGTATATATATATATACACATATATATATATACATACATATACATATACACAATTAGTTCTGTCCCTCTAGAGAACCCTAATACAGTAGCAAATAGCCACTACCAGACACAAGAGGGCCATGGTTACCAAAATGGAAAGCAGCCTTAAAAAGTCATAAGAATGGTCGCCGGGCATGGTGGCTCATGCCTGTAATCCTAGCATTTTGGGAGGCCGAGGCAGGCAGATTGCTTGAGTTCAGGAGTTTGAGACCAGCCTGGGCAACACAGTGAAACCCTGTAGTCCCAGCTACTCTGGAGGCTGAGGCAGAAGAATTGCTTGAACCCGGGAAGCAGAGGTTGCAATGAGCCAAGATCATGCCACTGCACTCCAGCCTGAGTGACAGAGCGAGACTCTATCTCAAAAAAAAAAAAATAAATATCATAAGAATGGTTTGAAACAAATAGATATTTCTGGTAGTAGTCAATGTAACTTGGAAGTGTAGTAGATCAGCAACCTCCTGAAGCATTATTTGACTTACTTATGAGAAAAAAAAATATTATTTACCTATTGTGAATAGAAGTCTGACCTACCATAATTTTTATGTACGTTAGAACATACATAAAATTATCAAATACAATTAGTATAAACAAGATCAGTATTGAGCAGCATCTGATGGCACAGATAAGTTTCATAAGAAAGTTAATTCATGAGCAAGTTAAATTCTTGAACAAGTTAATAATTCCATAGTCAACTCCTCCTACAGTTGTCCCTCTTCCTAAATCCATCCTTCTAACATTAAGTTTCTTAAAACTCTTTGGTGAGTGAATAAAAAGCACAGCCATAGTTTACTGGTAGATTTAAACCCTGTGCTTGCATGAGTTAAATGTGAATGATGTGGCATTACAGTATTGCCCAGGGTGGATTGGAAACACTTTAGGGAAATAAATCTAGCCAGTGGACAGATATCTGAGAAATTCACTTAGTGGTTCCCTTTATCCAAAAAGAAAGATGGCAAGAGCTATGGCTGACCCATGGGAAGTAGCCAAAGGCTTTGAGGGAAATTCAGGGAAAAAATAAACTATAATTATTGATAAAGAGATCTGGGAATGGTATGTGTATAGACCCCTGAAAACGAGATACAAGAGTCCAGATATTTGTGAATATGTGAATACTCATGGTTGCAACAAGGACAGCCACTGAACAGGAGTCTGCCATTAATTCAGTGGACCAGACAACCCATTCCCTAACCCTTATTCAATAAGCCTCACGAGGAATGGGGGCAAGAGCTAGGTGTGGTGGCACACACCAGTAGTCCCAGTTACTCAGGAGAAAATGAAAAAAATAAAAAGAACCAATGAGAGTAGGATGAAGTTAGTACATGACACAACCAAGGGCTTTTCCTTACCTACCAATAGCAAAGATTAACACTAACCTGGTGATGTGACTACTTTCCTTGAGAACAAGCTAGCCACCTGGTGGCAGACTGATTATAGTGCACAATTTTCATCTTGGAAGGGGTAGCAGTTGGTCCCAATTAGAATAGATAGTTAATTTTCATCTGGATTGTTATTTCTTGCCTGATATGCTCTGCCAGCAATAGTATCTGTGGTTTAGAGAGCACCTTATTTACCCCCTAGAATATTACATGGAATCACCACCGATCAATTAGTTTATTTTACAGAGTAAAGAAATGTAATGGTGCTCATCTTCATGAAATTTTATGGTCTTACCATACCCCTATCACCCTGTCTTCATGAAATTTGATGGTCTTACCATACCCCTATCACCCTGTCTTCATGAAATTTGATGGTCTTACCATACCCTTATCACCCTGAAGCAGTTGGCTTCATACGGAATTGGAACAGCTATGGAGACAACTCAAAGCTAGCCCTGCCTGAGAAAACACCATGTGAAGTTTGTGTGCTGTTTTTAAAGATAAGTTATATGTGTATCTATCTATCTATCTATCTATCTATCTATCTATCTATCTATCTATCATCTATCTATCTATCTACCTATCTATGCATATGTAACATATCTTTATGTATACATATATGTGTGTGTGTGTATATATATAGAGAGAGAGAGAGAGCGCACTCTATATCTCTACCTATCATCTATACATTTAGCCAGAGGTCTACAAAATAATAGGTAAAATACAAAGCAGTTTTTCTCATTATTACTCCTAATTATCCACTAAAAAAATTGGTTTAGAGATTTTATTTCTTAAAGGAGGAAATATTTCATCAGAGGACAAAACATAGTTTTTCATTAAGCTAGAAACGGAAACTGCCTCCTGGCGACTTTGGGCTACACATTCTACTGAACCTCAAATAATGAGGTTGCTCTATTGTCTTGGTGGTTGAACCCAACAGTCAAGCAGTAATTAGTTCACCACTGTATAATAGAAGCAAGAGTTAGTAGGTAAGAAATTCAGGGGGATTCTCTGAGGTGCTTCTTAGCACTCCCATGACCAGTACTTCAAGATACTAGAAAGCTACAGCAACTCAAAATAGTCAGAGCCACTAACAGCATAAGTATTTCAGGAAGAAAAAATGTGTTTAGATGATAAGTTAAAGACCTGCTAGCAAATTAGGGGCTGGCTGAAGACCAGGGGAAACCAGAAGTAGGAATACAAGACAGAGATAATACCAACTTCCAATAAGGGCATGAAAATACAGTTGGGAACTGCTGTAGTTATGCATGCATTGATTGCTTTGATTGCTTTGATATGTACATATTTGTTAATATATTAATTATATATGTAATATTTGTACATATTAGTAATATACTGCATTACTTATTAAATATACTTTATATACATATATATTAGTATTAAGTACAAATATTACTAGTATTGTCATATTACTACATACATTATCATTTGTAATACATATAAATGTATTATAATCAATTATTTATATATTTGCTTACATGAATATTAATAATTCCCAGGACTCTTATAAAAGTTTATAATAGCTAATTGGTGGGAGGCAGGGAATATACTCTTGTTCTGAATAACACAAATAATCACATTAAACATTAAATTTATAAATCACAATTTAAGTAACAAACTGTTCTGTGTAATATAAAAACAAGTAGTCACATAAAATCACAGATTATATAGGTATTTTACATTTGTGTTTTTCAAAAATAATTATTAAAAAATGAATGTCAATATTCCATTTCCTTTTTCATTTTGTTTTATGCATTAATAATGATCAAATAGGAAATAAACAGGGAGGTATAACATCCTGTTTGGCACTTTCGTCTACAAGGTGTAGTGAACCATTTCAGATATTAGAAGCTGGGCATTATAAAACTCTTAAAAAGAGAGGATAATGTATATTCTTAAATTTGTTAATAAGAATGACAGAGAGGCCTGGGCGCGGTGGCTCATGCCTGTAATCCCAGCACTTTGGGAGGCTGAGGTGGGTGGATCACGAGATCAGGAGATTGAGACCACCCTGGCTAACACGGTGAAACTCCGTCGCTACTAAAAATACAAAAAAAAAAAAAAAAAAAAAAAAAGAAAGAAATTAGCAGGGTGTGGCAGTGGGCGCCTGTAGTCCCAGCTACTCGAGAGGCTGAGGCAGGAGAATGGCGTGAACCCTGGAAGCGGAGCTTGCAGTGAGCCGAGATTGAGCCACTGCACTCCAGCCTGGGCGACAGAGTGAGATTCCGTCTCAAAAAAACGAAAAAAAAAGAATGACAGAGAGACAGTTTTTAGATACCTGAATCCAATCAGATGAAAATAAATCTACTGGGATATAAAGTTTACTAAGAACATGATGATTCGGTCCCTTATTTGTGAACATTCTATCAATCTTGCTTTTTATTTTTTCTCCTTTTCGTGTTTCTACTCAATGCCTTTATTTAATTTTACTTTGGTTTGGTTTAAATGTACTATTTCTACTAAGATCTTGGGTTTGGGATTCTACTTAAATATTGGTGTCAGTATTATCTTAAAAACGTATTTCATGATTTAATGTATATTTAGAAATAAATGTTTATTAAAGCACTAATATAAAATTACAGATGTATTCGGAGTGAAAATGTCATTGGCTGGAAAATAGCAATTAGCTTGAAATAATAATTTGAATACTGTTGGATTCCTTAGTTTTTAAAATTAATTTGAATTTCCCTTACTAATGCCTTTGAAATTCATTTCCTAACATAATCACCTGTGTTCACTGCTTTAAAAAATTTGCTTGACTATTATTTATCTTATGATTACTACTTGTACTCTAATTTTCTTTGCCAAAGTGATTGCACAAGTGACCTAACTCAATACTTTTAATGCATGTCCCTTCAATTTCAGAAGCTGAGCTCAGCTTACATTTATTTAGTACTTTATATGTAATTGGCACTGAGACAGATATTATACCGAAGTGTAGGTGCCCAAAGATGAAAACATAATCTTTCTGCTATATGAGATATTTAAATTAATGATGAGATTACTTAAGGAAAGGGTGTAGAATAAGAAAAGGAGCTGTTCTGCAGCAGAATTCTGTGGGATACTAAAGAGCAAATAAGCATGTAAAACTATTAACATTTTAGGCAGTAATAGTAAAAAAATCAGTGTTCCTTATGTCAGAATGAGCTAAGAGAAAAAGAATCACCAGATATTTGAATAGGCATTTACAAAATAGTGCTCCTTGAAGAAAAACTTGTTTCCTTAAAAATAAAAGGGAATGTTGAATGCCAACCAGTGTTAATGAAAAGAAAGACTCAAACTTAGAATAACTAAATACTTTTCTGAATCTCAAAGTTTAAACAAATATTACATAGGTAACCACGGTGGGAAGATAAATAAAATACATAAGAACTTTTGGCTACAATGAAGATAGAATCAGAATTCCATCCTTAATTTTTTTCTATAACACTGATTATTAATAATTATTAATAGATAGGAATACAAATTCCACTATCCAAGGAAAAGAATTGTGGCTCAAAATACATACAACTAAGTGAGGATATGTTATCTGTTTAGTATCTGCTTATTATGTTAATAAATAATTCCATAAAATTTAAGAAAACAGTCCTTCAGATAAATATGTTGTAAAAAACATTTTATTGTGTTTTCAAAAATGTCTCAAGATTTTAAATACCAGTCATGATATAATATCTTCTATTGGATTAAGCATCTCTAAAAAAATCCAAGAAAACTCACATAGCCAAGAACTGATATAGTTCTTCTTATGCTGGGAAATAACTATTTTAGGCACCTGATAGTATAATATTTAATCCTTACAAAGAAGGTGTTCTTTTTCTCTTTTTTATATTTTCTTTTTTTAAATTATACTTTAAGTTCTGGGATACATGTGCAGAATGTGTGGGTTTGTCACATAGGTATACACGTGCCTTGGTGGTTTGCTGCACCCATCAACACATCACCTACATTAGGTATTTCTCCTAATGTTATCCCTCCCCTAGTCCCCCACCCACCAATAGGCCCAGTGTGTAATGTTCCCTCCCATGTCCATGTGTTCTTATTGTTCAACTCCCACTTATAAGTGACAACGTGTGGTGTTTGATTTTCTGTTCCTGTGTTAGTTTGCTGAGAATGACGGTTTCCAGCTTCATCCATGTCCCTGCAAAGGACATAAACTCATCCTTTTTTATGGAAGCAGAGTATTCCATGGTGTATATGTGCCACATTTTCTTAATCCAGTCTGTCATTGGTGGATATTTCGCTTGGTTCCAAGCCTTTGCTATTGTGAATAGTGCTGCAATACAGATATGTGTGCATGTGTCTTTATAGTAGAATGATTTATAATCCTCTGGGTATATACCCAATAATGGGATTGCTGGGTCAAGTGGTATTTCTGGTTCTAGATCCTTGAGGAATCACCCATTGTCTTCCACAATGGTTGAACTAATTTACATCCCCACCAACAGTGTAAAAGCATTCCTATTTCTCCACATCCTCTCCAGCATCTGTTGTTTCCTGATGTTTTCATGATCACCATTCTAACTGACACGATTGTGTTGGGAAAACTGGCTAGCCATATGCAGAAAACTGAAACTGGACCCCTTCCTTACACCTTATACAAAAATTAACTCAAGATGAATTAAAAACTTAAACCTAAGACCTAAAACCATAAAAATCCTAGAAGAAAACCTGGGCAATACCATTCAGGACAATGGGCAAAGACTTCCTGACTAAAACATCAAAAGCAATGGCAACAAAGCCAAAATTGACAAATGGGATTTAATTAAACTAAAGAGCTTCTGCACAGCAAAAGAAACTATCATCAGAGTGAACAGGCAGCCTATAGAATGGGAGAAATTTTTGCAATCTATCCATCTGACAAAGGGCTAATACCCAGAATCTACAAGGACCTTAAACAAATTTACAAGAAAAAAACAAACGACCCCATCAAAAAGTGGGCGAAGGATATAAACAGACACTTCTCAAAAGAAGACTTTTATGTGGCTGACAAATACATGAAAAAAAGCTAATCATCACTGATCATTAGAGAAATGCAAATCAAAACCACAATAGGAAGTTCTTCATTTTTTGTTGAAGAAACTGAGACTTAGAGAATCTTAAAAACTACAGATGCTTTTTCTAATGTGGCCGCGTAATATACATTATTTTCAAGTACTTATGAAACATTTTCCAAAATAAACTATACGGTGGGCCAATAAAACAAGTTTCAACAGATATCAAATTATTAAAATGATAAAAAATATTCTCTAACCTCGGTGAAATTTAGTTAGAAAGCAATACAGAAAATACCAGAAAATGTACAAAGTTTGGAGATTCACATAACAATGTTAAAATACCCCATAACTCAAGAATAAATCTCAATAAAAATTAAAATATCTAGAAATAAGTAATAGTATAAAAATAATATTAATAATAATGTTGCATATTACATATAATTTGACATATATGGAATCCATAAACTACAAGGCTTGGAGAAATATTTAAATTTTTTTTTTTTTTTTTTTTTTTGAGACGGAGTCTCGCTCTTTCTCCCAGGCTGGAGTGCAGGGGTGTGATCTCCGCTCACTGCAAGCTCCGCCTCCCGGGTTCCTGCCATTCTCCTGCCTCAGCCTCCCCAGTAGCTGGGACTACAGGCGCCCGCCACCGTGCCGGCTAATTTTTTTTGTATTTTTTAGTAGAGACGGGGGTTTCACCTTGTTAGCTAGGATGGTCTCGATCTCCTAACCTCGTGATCCGCCCGCCTCAGCTTCCCAAAGTTCTGGGATTACAGGCGTGAGCCACTGCGCCGGGCCAAAATATTTAAACTTTAAAAGCATAAATTAAAAATTAGTTACCCTAATATGTAGGGTAATATCATTGACTTTCTACCTCCCGCATCTAGTTGTACCATTTACCACCCTTAGAAGAATACTTCAATTGGTCTACTTTTTTACCAACAAAAAGAAGAAATGTAACTCATACAGTCGTCATTAGGAAATTTATAGTGTATATTCTGTTGCCTTAGCCAAGGTACTAAAACTCTCACAAAGTAGCTGTGAACATTTACAATACATAAAACTCAGATAAATAAAAATATGTATTGCAGTAACATCATCACCTTTATTAACTTCATTAAGTAACAGCAAAAATTAGGAAACATATAAACACCTCAAATTAACTCAGAAAGGTAGATCTTTACTCCCACATATGTGGCAAAACTGTCTCCCTAAATAAATATTAAGAGGTGTTGAATTTTTTCAGAAGCATAATAATCTTCTTTTTAGCCTCTCAGATGTAGAATTATCAATAGTTGATTTAAATTTCTGATTATTTATAATTATCCTATACTCCCCATATCTGTCTTAATTTGTTTTAAACATTCTACTTTAAACTAATCAACTTACGTAAATTTTACATATTAGAGAAAAGCACCTAGAATTTTACATATCAGAAATAAGAAACTCGATTCCTGAAAATCTTTTGATTTTGTGATTTTGCTCATCATTTCTTCTAGCAACAGGCACAATATTTGGATAATACACAATTGTCAAACACTGTTAATGAAATACACTTGTGAATGAAGAAAATGCAAAATATATTAGCAATATTTCAAAGCAATTAACTGAAAAAAACAACCAAAGTATGTCCATTATGTCATTACCCCAGCCATTCAGAGCTGATTTATATTGAGAACTGACATCAGATTCCTGGTAATGAACTGAAGACAGAGAAAGAGGTGTGGATTGATAAAGTCTCATCATATTACAGTGCAATTTTGTTTAATAATGGGGTCTATCACTAACCCTCATTAAACATTTAAATCATTGGATAAGTGTTGAATAGTCTTGCCTGCATCAATGATAGGGGTCTATGGAGGAAATTACGTTAGTTTATCTCACAACTGGGAAAGGAAAAATCTTCCAAAATGTCATTTGGGATGTCATGCACAATAAGGTGGGTAGATAATATCTTCTGAATAGAAAATACACAACTAGATGATGCCAAGCCTTTAGTACATGAAGCAGTTTTTGATGTGGGATAAACATGGTCACTAAAGAGAAAACAACAAAAAAATTCAAGGAACATTAAGAGCCTGGAACACACTTGCTGACATTGGCTACACAGGCCTCCATTCTCCTGCCTCAGCCTCCCCAGTAGCTGGGACTACAGGCGCCCGCCATAACGTCTGGCTAATTTTTTTTTTTTTTTTTTTGTATTTTTAGTAGAGACGGGGTTTCACCATGTTAGCCAGGATGGTCTCAATCTCCTGACCTCATGATCCACCCGTCTCGGCCTCCCAAAGTGCTGGGATTACAGGCATGAGCCACCGTGCCCGGCCCCAAATTGGATTTTCTTATTCACTTTCATTCACTACCCTAAAATTGTCTTTTTTTAAAAAAAATGAATTAAAAATAATTTGAAAAATAATAAATAGTTTGAAAAATATCACTTGAATTTAGGCTAAACACTAATTTTGTCCAAAAAGCATATGGGAAAAATTTCATGAATATCAAATTGTTCACTGGTATTTATGATTCATTCAATCCTAAACAATGCGAGCTTGCTTTGGAAATGATTTACCAAGATTCTCCAGTTTATAGTGAACTTCCATATGTCTTTCTTATTATCAGCTCTATTAGATACTGCTGAAAGTCTTAGCCACTATTGGGGCCTGACTGCTTATACATTGCCTCTACTGTCAATAATGCATTTTTGAATATAGTTCAGATTCTGGTCATAGATTTTCCTGCATTACCAAACTATGCCCTTCTGTGTTGTTTAAAGTTGACAGCTGAAAAGACCTACCTAACAGTACATCAGATTCATCTGAGTTTTAATCCAAGAATTACAAATTAATAATGGATTTCACAGAGCAGAAACTAAAATATGAAGAAAAAAAATTTCAGAAAGCCCTCATATTTTCTTCTTAAACATTTATTACCATTAAGTATTCCTCTTTGCATTAAAAATAATTCAATAGAATGCCAATATGAGGTTTTCAATATTTTATTACTCCTTCCTTTTCTCTGATTTCTTCTCGCTTTGAAGATAAAAGAGGTATTTTAATTAGGATGCAATGGGAATAAATTCAGAATTAGCATATGTTGGTGTTCAATAAATGCAGTTTTAATTATAACCTTTTCCTGTTTGTTTCAAAGATTCAGAAAAAAAGCACATCAGAGACAAAACAAATATTTCTTAACATATTATATTTAATAATATATTGCCTGAAACTTCAGGCAATATATCACTAATGTGGGTACACACATTTTTTTTAATTCTAAAAGCCTACTTAAATTTCTAGATGAGGAGAAAATCCAAAGAATATATAGAAGTTGCCTCATTGCTCTATACATACTAGAGGGCATGTTTCCTTACCTGAGAACTTTCAGAACTACACTAAAAATTATTTTGTTTCATGAAAAGGTACTGGAATCTGTCAATGTCCCAGGCTCACTCCGTGGTAGAGAAAACCAGAGCCAGCAAGGGGATTTATAGATCTCAAACTACAATTGACTCTGTTTACTTAATGACTTATAATTTTTTTCTGCAGATTATCTGAGTGTTAAGATGTAGAAAATCCTTTTCTCAGGCAACACACACAAAGAAGTAAAATGAGTTCAAGCATTCCTAAAAATGTTATAATAAATTATGGAAGACTTTTCTTAATAATTTTGAAAAAGAATTAAGGCTAATATCTGCAAAAGTGTATCTGTCTACTGGGGTATATACTTCTTATTATATCAAATTAGCATTTCAGATCAATTACCTCTGGATATTTATATACCGAAAATTATACTACATTTTGGGAGGCTGAGGCAGGAGGATTGCTTGAGGCCAGGAGTTCTAGACCAACCTGAGCAACATAGCAAGACCTCATCTGTATAAAAATTTAAAATAAAAAAAATTAGCTGGGTGTACTAACATGCACCTGTGGTCTCAGTTACTTGGGAGGCTGAGGTGGGAGGAACACTTGAGCTCAGGAATTCAAGGCTGTAGTAAGCTCTAACCACCATGGCACTCCATGCTGGGCAACAGAGGGAGACCCTGTCTCTAAAAAATTAATTGATTAACTAATAAGAAAACTATTCTAATTAGATATATTGTCTAAATTTCAAAATATATACAAATATCTAGAATTTTCTGTTTAATTTCCCACTTAATTTTAATTATCTTACATTGGGCTCCAAATAACTTTATGGTGGTCATCTTGGATTTTGCTACTGATCAGCGAAATTGCAGGCCATTTAAGCAATATTAGTACACAGTTTTAATGATATGACAAATTAAATTGAACAACATTTTAGTCTGAACTAATTACATTATATTAAAAACTATAGGACCAGTTTCACTTTCTGTAGACCTACTGGGGAAAATAATTTAATTTTAAATGTATGAAGTCATAAAAAATCAATATCTTACTATATGATTGAACTAATTGACCAATGATTTCTGTTTCTAACTGTGTTCATGCATTGGGTGATTGGATTTGGGGATCTATCTGGCATAGAGATAACATCATTAGATATGGTTTCTAGATTTCCTGGTTTGGTCTTGGATCAACAAGGTGACTAAGATGCCATATATTTACAAATAAAATTGGAGGAAAAGGAAACAAATGCAGCACTAATAAAAGAATAAAAAACATAATAAAGTTTAGAACAAGTTTAGTAGATATAAATAACCAATTAAATTCAGTCTTGTCAAAGATTCTTAAGACATTACATATTCTTTAAGAGCTACAGAAATTGATATTTTATACACGTTAAATTGAACTACACATTTTCCAGGTTTTATCCAGCTAAAATTAATGTCTATCTATAGAACACCTTGTTTATCATGATCATGATATATTAAAAAAATGTAAATACATTTTTTGATTGCTGGTAGAAAGGTACATATAGAATATGTCTTTACCCATAAGCCATTAGGTTGCCTCAGAGAGAGTTGAATATGTTCAATTTTGTGAAAATGAAAGTTTACAACATTGTGGAAAATATTTACCTTTCTAAACCACTTTTTTCTTTACTGCATGTTATCATTAGCCAAAAGCAATCTGATATTTACACAGAAAAACAGAAGTAGAAGAGATAGTGAAAGTGAGTCTGACCTAAACCAGAAAAAGGCAATTGTAGCTGACTCCTTGAACATTTATAAACTTCCACTAGCCAGTGCTATGTAAATACCAAGATGAGAATTAGGCCCATATACCATTCTTCAATAATTTGATGACTTATTTGATATATTGAGTAACTGCCAATTTTGTTTTAGAAAGAAACATGATCAGAAAAAAAGAGACCTGTTCTAAACATGTTTATTCATTACATACAACACAAATCAATTCTGCTTCTCTTGCATTGTGTCCAAATGAAGATGAGTGTCATTTCAATGATAATCATTGGTTCAAAATCAAATATGGAGGGTAAATCAGAATATGTTCTAAGTTAGCCCTGGATCCAGTGTTGTTCAATCATTTATATCACTGGATTCTAAAATATCAGGTATATTACATAAGTTTATGCATGATAATGACTGAGAGGAATAAATACTACCTTGAGGGAGAAAGTAAAAAATAGCCTTGATAATTAAAATAAGGCAACTTATTTCCGAATGTTGAGACAGAGAGACAGAAGAGAGAAGTCTTTTATTTTCTTTTATTAATTTGAATGTTTTATGACAGTAAGAATTAACTAAATTAATTAGAAGCAAAGAACTGATAAGAAGAAACTTTAATTTGGGGATTTACCTGTAGTGCCATAGTCACAATTATTATCCTTTTATTAGCAGTGGATTTTATATGGATAATTAGATACTAAATGCAAGATGTATAGCTCAAATATATTTGACCTCTGTATGGTTTATTCCTCAGAGTTTGGATGGACCATCATTATATAATTTATCACATTGCATTGTGAGCATTTATTTCTACCATCCATCAGCAGGTTGTAGGAGTTTACATAATACTCAAGGAAAGGATTGGTTTCTATATATTAAATCATAGGATAGAAGCTCTCATTGTAGAAAAGTTTTAAAGAAATGGAAAGGAAATTAGTTTCTGTCATTTCTCTATGACTTAGTTTGGCATCATTCTTCTCTGCCTTTCTAATAACATAGAATGCCTGAGACATGACAGAAAATAGCAACTGATTACTGTGACAAGAAGCCATAATGCAGAATATGGGGAGAAATGGAGAGTGGTAGTAATCTTCATTATTTACACAGCACACTCCCTTTCTAGGAGGTTAGATAAGCACTGTCATTATGTAACATTAAGACTGGTTGTTTCCTTTTAAAAATAAGTAGCTAAAATAAGGACATGGTAGTTTCTTATCTTGAAACCTTAGAAAGTACTACTATATATAGTAAAAGTGATGTGTGAATTGTGAACTGTGCCTCTTGCGAGGCAGAAAAAGACAAAATATTACTGTAATATTGACTTTGTCCTACCACAAAACCATACGAAATCTGCTGTAAATGTTTTACTGTATTTTATTTTTATAGTGCAGGGCATTTGCAGATGGTTATACAGTGATTCTGTTCTTGATGTTAAAAATTACTAAACTATTAAATTTAAGGAAAGACTCATTGCTAATAAAATACAATCTCAATAATTTTAAATGCTACTTTTTATGCAAGACATTTGTATTTTGTCACTGGTAAACATTCAAATGCTTTTAATTAATGTTCTTTTTTTCTTAATGAGGTCAGCATATTGCTTATTTTTTTAAAGAAAAAGAAATGATTACAATATTAGAAAATATGCTATTTTTCCAAGTTTACTAGGATAGTTTTCTAACAAAATTATTGTCATTCCAACATGCAATACTTTCTAGCAAAGGTGATCTTGCCTTTTAAAAAGTCATCTCAATTGGTTGCCAATTAGTTTATTTTTTGACATCAGAAACTATCTAATATCCTCTTCCTTTCTCAGACGTTCCCAGAAAACATGAATTGGCCTGAATCCGATGAATTAAAAAATAGAATATTTTCTTTAAGTGTCAACATTTATAACTCTGACACATAGTCCTAAGAACATTCCTTGTCATGCTTGTTTCTTAAACTACTAAAGAGCCTAGGCTATGTGAGATAACACATAAATACTGAAGCCTAGGCTATGTGAGATAACACATAAATACTGAAGTAACAAAGGTTCGACACCATAAAATAATATTCCTCAATTGGATTATAGACTGGTTAGTCTACTGGGCAGCTTTCCTCCAATGTTAGACCAAGGTTGCTGCCACCTTAATTTTACACGACTTGGTCTATGTGGCTTTCAAAGCCTCAGGAATAAGTGGAATTGATTAGAGTGTTATGCCAGATATTTAAAGGGGAAGAGCTGAAAGTCACTGACATGACTTTCTTCACCTTCCATTGGCTATAGGCCAACCAAATGGCCCCCTGACCTAACTACAAAGGGGAATTGGAAATAAAACCTTTCTGTGTACGAACACAAGAAACAGAAATATCTTGTTAGAGATAGGATGTTGTTGCTGGTCTGTCTATGAAGAAGCAAACATCTGACTAGTAGAGAGCAATTGACTTCTCAGTATCTGTATAGGTAATATGATGATTTTTAGAATAACCTTAGAAAATCATAAATAGAACTAGGGCAAAAAATGGTCAAGGTCCATAATTTGTTCTAGCCCTTTGAATGCTATTAATTCAAAAAATAAATAATAATGCATCAAAAGGAAATGAATTGATATTGACTAAACACTGAACACGAAGAAGTTTACTAAAATTTCTGCCCCAGCTAGTTTTATGAAAATAAGCACATGATTTTTTAATGTGTATTATGATTTACACCTATAAATTTACACTTTTGGACAATGCAATCTTTAATTTATCTTTTCATTTATAAAGCTTTGTAGTCCTTCAGCAGTATCATAAACTCTTTTTATTCCTGTCTTCCAAAATATATAAATCATTATCTTATAACATACAGTAAATAGCACTGAACAGAATGCAGAGAATGAGTCTTGCTCTACAGTCGAAGTTGGTGAAAATAGTTGCATAAGGAGTACAATAAATGCTCTTTTCATGATCTAATACATATACATATACATATCTCTATAAAATTATTTAAAACAGTAGAAAAATGTTATGAAAATATTTTTCAATCTATGTTATCTCTAAGCACTAAATTGTAAATACTAACAATTAACAAATTGAAGAGAGAAAGCCAGAGAATGGGAGAAAATACTTGTAAACTATCAATCTGACAAGGGACTCATAACCAGAATATATAAGGAGCTCAAACAACTGCAAAGGAAAAAAATCTAATAATTCAATTAAAAATGGGCAAAAGATATGAATAGACATGTTTCAAAAGAAGACATACAAGTGACGAACAGATATATGGGAAAGTACTCAACATCATTGATCATCAGAGAATGCAAATCAAAACTAAAATGAGATATTATCTCGCCCCAATTAAAATCACTTTACCCAAAAGATGGACAATTATGAATGCTGGTAAGGATGTGGAGAAAATGGTACCCTTATGCATCATTGGTGGGAATATATACTAATACAGCCACTATGGAGAACAGCATGGAGAAAACTAAAAACAGACTACCAGATGACCCAGCAGTCTCACTGCTAGATATATACCCCAAAGAAAGGAAATCAGTATATCAAAGAGATATCAACACTCCCAT
The DNA here is from genome assembly GCF_000001405.40 of Homo sapiens. Lineage (NCBI taxonomy): Eukaryota > Metazoa > Chordata > Mammalia > Primates > Hominidae > Homo > Homo sapiens. Next base: position 135,432,183 of record NC_000004.12, read on the forward strand.
GTATATTGAAGCACTATTCTCAATAGCCAAGATTTGGAAGCAACGTTAAGTGCCCATCAAAAGATGACTGGATAAAGAAGATGTGGTACATATCTACAATGAATACTATTCAGCTATAAAAAAGAACCTGACATTTGCAACAACGTGGATGGAACTAGAAGACATTATGTTAAGAAAAAAAAGCCAGGAATGAAAGGAAAAAGTATGCATGCTTTTACTTATGTGTAGGAGCTAAAAATGAATAAATTCAACTTATGGAGACAGAGAGTAGAATGATGATTACCAGAAGCTGGGAAGGGTAGTGGGATGAAGAAGTGGGGATACTTAATTGACTAAAAAATATATAGTTACATAAAGTGAATAAGATCTACTATTTGATAGCACAACAGGGTGATTCCAGTCAATGAAAATTTATTGTACATTTAAAAATAACTAACAGTATAACTGGAATGTTTGTAACACAAAGAAATGAAACATGCTTGAGGTGACAGTTACCCCCATTTACCCTGATATGATTATTTTGCATTGTATACCTGTATCAAAATAGTTCATGTACCTTATAAATATATACACATACTATGTACCCATAAAATTTAAAATATTCTTTTAAATTGTTAATATTGCCATTTAAAATTAAATTTCATACTCCATAATTTTGCAGAAAAATTGTTAGCATTTACTATAATGACATAACAGAAATACATTTTAATAAATATCAGTGTAAGACCATGTTACAATGCTATAAACCATTTAATAATTTTAACTTGTATAAAAGGATATCAAACTAATACTATTTTACAGTAAATGGCTTTAAGAAAAATTTTACAAAGGGTAAAAGTAATGTTTTGCATAGAAAACATTACAGTTATCTTCACTAAAACGTTTCTAAAGGGTAAGCTATAAAGTAACATTGCAGATTATACTGTATGTACATTTCTCAACTGCAGAGAGATATAGGAAACAATAAGGATATACGATGTATAAAATTTAACCATTTTTTCCAAAAATTTTTAACATCAGGTATTCACTGTTAATAACAAAACAAAAAAGCTATGAGATAGAAAAAGGAAGTGATAGACATGAGCCATACTTATTGTACTGAATGACCTGACAGCAACTCATCACCATCACCACTTCCTTTCAATGCTGAAAACTTGGTTTTCCAAAATTTATCTGGGTACTTTAGCCCAGCTTAGATTTTGCCAAGGACAGGAATGTGTGTGAGATCTAGAAAGCAAAGACAAATAGATATCACTATTCTTCGGAAGTAGTTTCACCAGAGGAACTGGCAAATAGGAGATTCGAAGAGTTTTCCAAACAGTCTTTGATGAACCACCTTTTTCATTACTGTAGAATGACATAGTTTCTGGAAGATTCTTAGGGAATTCTGATAATTTTAGCAACTCCCAGGCAAGATTGAGCAACCACTTTTTCTTCGGTATGTCATGCTGAGATCTTCAGAGAATCAAAAATTCTAATATCAGTGGCAACTCCTTTGACTTTAAATGGCATATTCTTTTTCCTCCAAGATATTTGTTTTACAAGAACAGTTTAAGCTTAATGTAAATCTAGGAAGTTAAACCTATATTAATATTTTAAAGCCAGAATATTTAGAGTAGAAGTGGTATTTAGAAGATTGGCCCACCCAACTTCTGAAAGCACAAATAAGTAGCATAAAAGCAATGGTTCACACCTATTTTTGGTTTATTACAGCCTCTTCCTCAACATGTAGTTAGGACTTCTTGGGAAGTTTCCTATAACCTGTTGACTGAGGAAGAAATGATTTTTGCATGGATTACATGATGACCTGGAACTACCTGAAAATGGATAGCAGCAGCATTATGATTTTACATGGACATAGCCTGTTGTCAATTTGACACCACAAGCACTCCCTTCTTAGTTTCTTACTATGTTTACTAATGCCAGCTTCCCATTTATAGTTCTCATTTATCGGCTAGAGTTTGCCAATTATAGAAATCTGTGCAATGTTGAGAAGGCAAAAGTGAAGCCAAAGCCCTTATATTCCATAGGCAGTTGCTACTAGATGTGTAGGCAGATTTGAAATTTTCTGTGATTTCCCTTCAATCTGAAAACCACCTACTTTACCATTTCAGACTGAGAATGATGCTGGGAGCCATTCCAACAAACCCACGAAATTTAGCAGCTTTGAAAAAAAAGGTACTAATATATACTATCAAGGTTTTATGCTGCAGTCAGATTCATTTACCTCCACTCCCATAGTTTTTTTTCAAAGTGATGTAATCCACTAATATGTATCAAATTTTAATAAGAGAATACATAGAGAAAATTTAGTTTTGCTTACTATAAGCTGACCTCGTCATGGAATTCATGTAAGCCTTTCTTGGGAAGTGATAATTAAGCTGATATCAGAAGTATAAGTAGATGATATATCATCCAACAAAATATATATAACTTTACTTATAGTTTCAGTTATATAAAATCCTTCAAATGAAATCATTAAATATTTTCTTTTCTTTATCTTTAATGTTTAACTGTCTATTTAACAATTATGTGTGACAGTCTATAAACACAGTAATTACAGAAAAAAACACCAAAAAATAAAAACATGGAGAAATTAGCCTGTCAGTTATTCTGCACATTTGCTTTCAATATACATTGAAACTTTGATTGTATGTATAAAAATTTTGTGAAAAATTATTGTCCTATATATATATGACTATTGTATAACTTCTTATTCATTTAATATATCCCTATAACACTAAATGCTGATAATTTTCTAAAGGTTTCAAATTTTTTTCCTTCTTTAAATAATGCATTTACTAGGCACTGTGTTGCTGCTCTAGAGGACCAGTAGTATAGCACACAGAAGCCAATACAGCTCAGCAACCTCTCCCTCCAGAGAAAGAGAAGAGTGAATCATGCATCCAATGTTCTGGCTATTCAAGATTGTTGCCTGAGGGACGGCTTTCTCTCTAGTTTGACTCAGAATAATTATGAAACCTGGCATATTCTAGTTGCCTAAGGGCCTCTGCGAACAAAAAAAATAGAACTGGGAGGTGGTCTGTTGCCTCATGGAATCCATGATGCAGAATATAGATAACAGAGAGAGGAAGAGATTACAAGCTTCTGAAAAAAAAGCAACTGGAACATTCCTATAAATAGAAATCTACATAAACAAGTCTAGTGAAGACGCATTAAAAAAAAAAAAGACTAGAGAAGCCACATGAATTTGTAGCCAGGGTGACTGGTGAAAGTCTTTCTCTGTCCAAAGCTAATTGGTAAAGATTGGGTAAATTGGCTCTTTTTTTCAAATGCATGCATAACTTATAAAGTTGTAAGTAACATCAGGAAACAAGGAAAACTGAATGAAGAAAAAAATCTCTTGAAAATGACTCTAAAAAAAGAGAGATTTATGAATTACCTGACTAAAAATTCAAAATAGTTATTATAAACATATGCAAAGACAGGTCATTTGAAATTGTCCCATCAAAAGAGTAAAAAGAAAAAAAGAATGAAAATATTGCAAAAAGCCTAAAATATTAGTGAAATAACATACAGCAGAACAATATATACATTATGAAAGTCTAACAAGGAAAAGAGAAAGGAATTGAAATCTTATTTCAAGAAATAATGACTGAAAACTTTCCAAATCTGTGGAAGGAAGTGGATATCTCAATAAAAGAAGCTGTAGTACATTCAAACAGGGTAAACTCAAAGAACACATGAAGACACATTATAATCAAATGGTCAAAACTCAAAGACAAACAAAATTTTGTAGCAAGAAGAGAAAAGCCACTCATGGCATACAAGGGAACCATTATAAGACTACAAGTGGATTTCTCAGCAAAATCTTTCAGGACAGGGGAAATAGAATAATACAGTCAATGTACTAAAAGAAAAAAAGCACTAGAAACCAAGATTACAATGTTTATCAATATTTTTTCTTTAAAATGAAAAAAAGATGAAAACTCTCCAGGATAAACAAAAGCTTACAGAGTTCATTATCACTACAACTGTCATAGAAGAAATGCTAAATGATGTCCTTTAATTTAAAACAAAAATATACCAAACAGCAACACAAAAGCATATGGAAGTATAAAGCTTACTGATAAGAAAATATATAGACAAATAGAGAATACAGTGATACTGTAATGGTGGTGTCGAAATCACTTTTAATTCTGGTATAAAAGTTAAAATACAAAAGTATAGATAACTACAAGTATAAAATTTGTTCATAGAAACAATATAAAGTTGTAATTTGTGACATCAGTAACATAAAGTGGGAGGTGGTTAGTTTGTATGCAATTGAACATAAGTTCAATTAAAATGTTATTGAATTATTGAATTTAAATAACTAAAGTTCAAATAAAATACATTGTTATAAACATAAGATATTTTTGGTAAACCCCATGGTTACCAAAGGAAATACCTGTAAGTGATACAAAAAAGAAAATAAAAAGGAATCAAAGCACATCACACCATAAATATCAACCAAATACAAAGGAAGACAAGAAGAAAAGAAAGAGATACAACAGCTAGAATACGGACAGAAAACAATTTTACAAATGTTAGTAGTAAGCCTTTTCCTATCAATAATGATCTTAAATATGAATGGATTAAACTCTGTCAAAAGATAGAATAGCTAAAGGGATTTTTAAAAAAGATCCAATTATATGCTAACTACAAGATACACAGTTTAGATTTAAGAACACACATAGATTAAAAACATAGGAGTGGAAAAAATTTTTCATGCAGATGCAATCCAGAAAAGAGCACAGGCTGCCATAGGTATAGCATACAAAATAACTTTACATTAGATTGTCATAATTGACAAAAAAGAACATTATATAATGATCAAAGCGTAAATTCATAAGGAAGGTATAACAATTATAAACATACATGCATCTATATACATATTCAAGCTATATATTCTAAATATCTGAAGCAAGCATTGACAGAAGTTAAGGCAGAAATAGGAAGCAACATAATAGTAGTAGAAGTATTCAATACTCCAATTTCAATAATTGATAGACTATCCAGACAGAAAATCAATAAGAAAAAAAGACTTAAACAACATCATAGACCAAATGGACTTAAAGGAAACATGTAAAACTTTTTACCCAAGAGCAAAGGAATACACATTTCTCTTACACACAGATTATCCTCTGAACAGATCACATTTTATGTCACAAACAAGTCTTAATAAATTTAGGAAGACTATAGTTATGCCAAATGTCTTTTCCAATCACAATAGAATGAAATTAGATATAGTAGCCAAGGGAAAACTGGACAATTAAAAGATAAGTGAAAATTAAACAACAAACTCTTGAACAACCAATGTGTCAAAAAGCAAAAAAGAAATTAAAAATATATTCAGACAATAAAATCAAAGGCATAACATATATATGTGTGTGTGTATATATATAAACATATATATAAACATATATAAACATATATATATGAACATATATATAAACATATATATATGAACATATATATAAACATATATATGAACATATATATAAACATATATATATGATGCAGTAAAAGTAGTTCTAGGGGAGAGGTTTATATTGATAAGCACATACATTAAAAAGAAGAAATATCTTAAATAAACAACCTAGCTCCACAGCTCAAGAAGCTAGAAGTATTAGAACAAACTACACCCAAACTTATGAGAAAAAATAAATAATAACCATTAGAGCAGAAATAAATAACATAGAGAGTAGAAAAAGGATAGAAAAAAATCAAGGAAACTAAGAGTTGATTTTTTAAAGAGTTTAACAACATTTACAAATCTTTAGCTAGACCAACACCGAAAAAGAGAGAGCCAGAATGATACCAATAAGATGGTTTAACAGAAGATGCCTCATCATCACTCTCCCCAGAATATCTAGCAACTACTCAAAAGTTAAGAATCTCTCTGAATTCAGCAAACTTGAGGAGGAACTTGGATCCACAGAAACAAGAAAAACCTTGACCGGTAAGAGGAACTGTTATTTTAGACCACACCACCTATACCCCAAAGCTGGTAAAAACAACCCATTTTCCTACACTCAGAATTTCTGAGGTAGGAGAAGTGAATTGAAGGTGATGTTTGATCTCCCTACAGGTCTGAGAAGTTTTGTGGAAGCCTACTCCAGTCCTGTACCACAGGAAGCAATGAAAGTGCCAGAAGGGCTGAACCACCTGAGGTAAACTAGAGACAAAGATTGGGGTACTCATCAATATGATACACAGATGTTGGCAGCTACTCTCTGTTCTAATCAACAGGGATGCTGTGCTGAGGAGACAGGCCACTGTCATAGTGCTGCAGGGAGGAATGATCTGTGGGAATACCTGAATCCCTTACTGGATTTCCCACAAAATCATTGTATTAGTCCATTTTCATGCTGCTGATAAAGACATACTTGAGACTGGGCAATTTACAAAAGAAAGTGGTTTAACGGACTTACAGTCCCACGTGGCTGGGGAAGCCTCACAATCATGGTGGAAGGCAAGGAGGAGCAAGTAATGTCCTACATGGATGGCAGCAGGAAGAGAGAGAGCTTGTGTGGGCAAGCTCTCATTTTTAAAGCCATCAGATCTCATGAGTCTTATTAACTATCATGAGAACAGCAGGTAAAGAACCACTACATAACCAATCACCTCCAACTGGGTTCCTCCCATGACATGTGGGATTTGTGAAAGTTACAATTCAAGATTAGATTTGGGTGAGGACACAGCCAAACCATATCAACCATGCAGTCTTTTGGAGCCTTCCCCTGACTTTGAAACAACTAAAAGTTTGGCAATTAATTTCTCCTTCCTACTAAAGACTACCCCACACCTGATGGAGAATGAGAAATTTGACAAAAAATAGAAACAATTAAAAAATAGAAATTATAGACATAAGGAATACAATAACAGAAATTAAAAACTTAGTTTCTCCAGCAGACTTCATAAAACAAAGGAAAGAACCAGTAAGCTCAAAAACATAACCCATGAAATTATTCAGGGGATCAAAAATATAAATAAAAAAATGAAGGCCTATTATGGGACTCCATCAAGTGAACTAACCACCACATAATAGGAATTCAAAAGGAGATGACAGAGAGAAAGGCCTAGAAAGCACATTTAAGGAAATAATGTCTGCAAGTGTATCTACATATACTTGTACACTTACAGGAAGCTCAGAGCTCATCAATCAAATTTAACCCAAAGAGAAATTTCCCAACACACATTATAATCAAATTATCAGAATCAAAGACAAATAAAGAATACTAGAAAAAACAAGAGAAAAAATTATATTTCATAGAGTCCCAATATGGCTTCTAGCAGATTTCTCAGTAGAAACCCTGTGAGCCAGTAGACAATGCAATGATATATTTAAAGTGCTAAAGGAAAGAACAAACAGTTATAAAAAGCTATTAGTTAAGAATACTATACCCAGCAAAGCTGTTCTTCAACATTAAGAAGAGATAAAAACTTTCCCAATCTGGCTGAGGGCAGTGGCTCATTCCTGTAATACCAGCATTTGGGAATCAGAGGCAGGAGAATTGCTTGAGTCTAGGTGTTCAAGGTCAGCCTGGGCAACATAGTGAGATCTTGTCTCTACCTAAAGTAAAAAATTAAAAATTTGCAAGGTGTGGTGATGCTCACCTGTAGTCCCAGCTACTCTGGAGGTTGAAGTGGGTGGAATACTTGAGCCCAGGAGGTTGAGGCTGCAGTCAGCTGTAATTGTGCCATTGCACTTCAACCTAGGTGACAGAGCAAGACTGTCTCAAAGCAAAAACAATAATAAAAACTTTCCCAGATGAAAAATAAATAAATAACATAAGCTGAGGGAATTCACCAATGTCCAACATGTCTTGCAAGAAATGCTAAAGGGAGTCCAATCTTAAAAAAAAGGATGCTAAGATGTAAGAGAAAAATACCTGAAAATATAAAACTAACTGGCAAATAGAAGTATATGGAAAAATTTAGAATGCTTTGCTACTATAATTGTGATGTGTAAACCACTTATAACTTTAATAAAGACAAAAAGTGAAAAATGTCAAAAGCAATAATAGCTGCAATTGTTTAAGAGATAAGCAACATAAAAAGATGTAAATTGAGAGTCAAAAAGTCAAAATGTGGGGAGACTGGTGTTAAAATGTAGAGTTCATTTTTTTTCTTTTAATTTCTTTGCAATTAAAGTTAAGCTGTCATCAGTTTAAAATAACATATTATAACTATATGATGTTTTTTGTAAGTCTCCTGGTAATGACAAAGCAAAAAACTTTAATAGATACGCCAAAAACAAATGGCACAGAATGAAAACACACTACTAAAGAATATCACTTAACTACAATGGAACACACACAGTGGTACACAATATCACTTAACCACAGTGGAACACAGTAAGAGAGAAAAAAGGAAAGAATCTACAATAAAACCAAAAAACATGTAATAAAATAGCAGTAGTAAATCCTTAGCTATCGTCTCTAACTTTGAATATTGTAAATGAATTAAATTCTCCATAAAAGACATAAATTTGATGAAAGAGTAAAAAATACAAGACCTAATTTTACCATGTCTACTTAAAAATGATTTCAACTATAAGCCACTCATAGACTGAAAGCAAAGGGATAAAAGAGATATACCTTGTAAATGGAAACCTACTAAGAGCAAAAGTAGCCATTCTATAAGAGAAAATAGAGAATAAGAAAAAATAGAGAATAAGATAATTTTAGTAAAAAAAGGTTAAAAAATGATAAGGAGGCATTAAACAACGATAAAGTTTCAAGAGATTTTTACAATTAAAAGTATATAGGTACTCAACACCAGAGCACCCAAACGTATGGAGCGAGTATTAACAGACCTAATGAGAGAGGTTGATGGCAATGTAATACTAGTAGGAATCTTCAACACTCTGCTTTCAGCAATGGACAGATCATCCATACAGAAAATCAACAACAATAACAAAAAAGCATTGAAGTTAAACTATACTGTAGTCCTAATTGACCTAACAAACATTTACAGAGCATTCATTCTATCCAATAGCTACAAAATGCACATTGTTCTCAACAACACATGGAACATTATCCAGAATAGACCAAATGTTAGGTCACAAAACAAGTCTTAACAAATTTACAAATATCAAAATTACATCAAGTATTTATTCTGACCCTGAAGAAAAACAAAAAAACCAGAAAGCAAGAAGAGAAGTAAGATTGGAAACTGGATAAATACATGGAACTTAGACAACATGCTCCTAAACAACAAATGGGTCAATGAGGAAATTGGAAAAAAAAAATTAAATATTCCTTGAAACAAATGAAAATGGAAACACAACATCCTAAAACCTATAGTATACAGCAAAAATAGTTCTAAGAGGGAAGTTTATACCAATTAAACTAAACATTAAAAAGTAGAAAGACCTCAATAAACAACCTAATGTTATAGCTTAAGAAACTGGAAAAACATGAACTAACCTAACCCCAAAGTTGCAGAAGGAAGGAAATAACAAAGATCAGGGCAGAACTAAATGAAATAGAGACTTAAAGAACGATATAAAAATTAAAGAACATATACTTGGTTTTGTAAATTAATAATCAAAGTTGACAAGATTTTAACTAGACTATGAACAAAAGAGAGAAGACTCAGATAAATATAATTAGTGATAAAAAAGACTATAATTGATACTTCAGAAATATAAAGGATATAAGGAGACTATTAAGTACAAGTTGACACCAACAAATAAACAATCTACAAGAAATGAAGAAATTTCTCTGTGCATACAACCTACCAAAATTGAATTATGCAGACTAGAAAACCTGAGCAGATAAATAACATGTATTAATTATTCTTAAACTAAAGTATTACATTTACAATGTAAATGTAATTACAATTACATTTAATTGTAATTAAATTATTAAAGCATTGATAAAGGCGTGTCATCAAAGAAAAGCCTAGTAATTGATGGCTGCACTGCTAAATGCTACCAAACATTTAAGAATACCAGTTCTATTCAAACTCTTCAAAACATTTAAGAGAAGGAAATGCTTATGAACTCATTTTACAACGCAAGCATTACTCTTATACTAAAACCAGATGATGACACAACAAAAAACGAAAACTACAGGCCAATATTCCTAATGAACATAGACACAAAATCCTCAACAAAATTCTAGCAAATCAAATTTAAAAACACATTAAAAAGATCAAGTGAGATTCATTTCAGGGATGTAACAACGGTTTCACATATGCAAATCTATAAATGTGATATATCACATTAGCAAAATCCAGGACAAAAACCATGTGATTATCTCAATAAATTCAGAAAAATTATTCAATAATATTCAACATACTTTTATGATAAAATCTCTCAAAAATCAAGCACAAAAAGAATTCACCTCAACACAGTAAAGGCAACATATGGCAAAGCCACATTCAACATTATACCAAATGGGAAAAATTTGAAAGCTTTTTCTCTAATATCTGGAACAACAGAAGGATGATAACTTTTACTACTGTCATCCAACATTAGTATGGAAGTCCTAGCCAGAGTAATTAGGCAGAGAAAGAAATAAAAGGCATCACAATGGGAAACAAGGAAATCAAACTGTCTGTTTGCAGACACCGTGATTATATACCTAAAGAATCAAGAAGGCCCCATGAAAAAAGTCTTTGAGCTGGTAAATTAATTCAGTAAATGTGAAGGATACACAATATACATACAAAAATCACTCCGGGTACAATGGCTCATGCCTGTAATCTCAGCACTTTGGAAGGACAAGGTGGGCGGATCACCTGAGGTCAGGAGTTTGAGACCAGCCTTTCCAACATGGTGAAACCCGTCTCTACCAAAAAAAAAAAAAAAAAAAATTAGCCATGCATGGTGGTGTGCACCTGTAATACCAGCTACTGGGGAAGGTGAGGCATGAGACTCACCTGAACCCAGGAGGTGAAGGTTGCAGTCAGTTGAGATGATGCGACTGCACTCCAGCCTGGGCAACAGAGTGAGACTTTGTCCCAAAAATAAATTAATAAATAAATATATAAATAAATAAATAAATAAATAAATAAATAAATGGCAAAAAACAAACAAAAAATCAGTAACACTTCTAAATACCAATAATGAACTCTCTGAAAAATAAATCAAAAAAGCAATTCTAATACAGTAACTACCAAAAATGAAATACCTAGGAATAAACTTAACCAAGAAGGTGAAAAATCTCCACAATAAAAACTACAAAACATTGATGAAAAAAATTAAAAATACGAATAAATGGAAAGATATCTCATATTCATAGATTAGAATAATTAATATCATGAAAATGTCTATACCATCCAAAGCAATCAACAGATGTAATGCAATTCCTATCAAAATACCAATGACATTTTTTACTAAAATAGAAAAAAAAAACCCTAAAATTTATACAGAACTACAAAAGACTCTAATGGCTAAAGAAATCTTGAAAAAAAAAAAAAAGAAAAAAAAGCTGAAGGCATAACTTTAAAATGTATTACAGAGCTATAGAAATCAAAACAGTGTAATATTGTTATAAAATCAGACGGACTAATGAAAAAGGATAGAGACTACAGAAACAAATCCACACATTTACAGCCATTTTATTTTCAAGCAAGGTGCCCAAAAAGCACATTACAGAAAGGGCAGACACAGCAATAAATGATCGTGAGAAAATTGGATATTTGCATGCCGAAGAATGAAAGTAGAGTGTTCTCTCTCTCTGAATTGAATAAAAACTTAAAAGTAAGTCTGTTCTCTCTGTTAATCAACTATACATATATTAAAAACTTAAAAGTAAGACCCAATAGTTAAAATTAAAACTACTGAAAGAAATCATATGGGAGTCTGGGGAAGGAGTTTTTGGATAGGACTTCAAGAACACAAACAATAAAAGCAAAAGAAGACAACTGAGATTACTTCTAAATAAATGAATAACGACACAAAACACAGACAAAGAAAAAACACTTCTGCACAGCCAAGAAATCCACAGAGTGAAGAGAAAACTGGTTGGGAGAAAATAGTTACAAACCAAGTATCTGACAATGGTTAACTCAAACAACTCAGGAGCAAAAAATCACAAATGATCTCTGATTTTTAAAAGGGACAAAATAGCTAACTAGACATTTCTCTATAGAAGGCATGCAATTGACCATCAAATACATGACAAAATGTTCAACATCATTAGCTTTTAAGGAAATGCCAAACAAAATCACAGTGAGATATCACCTCACTCCAGATAGAATGACTATCATCAAAAAGACAAAAAATAACAAATTCTGGCTTGGATGCTGAGAAAGGGGAATTAATATGCTTTTGTTGGAGATGTAAATTAGTTCAGCCATTATGGAAAACAATATTGAATTTCCTTAAAAAATTAAAAATTGAACTACTGTTTGATCCAGTAATTGAATATAAATATATATTTAAAGGAAGTGAAATCAGTATGTCAAAGTGATATCTGTGTTGCTATGTTCATTGCAGCACTATTCACAATAATCAAGAGATGGAATCAACCTAAAAGTCTATCAATGGCCAAATGGATGAAAAAAAGTTTATATATATAAATATACACACAAAAGAATACTGTTCAGCTATAAAATATAATGAAATTCTGTCATTTGCACTACCATGGATGAATCTAGATGATATAATGTTAAGTAAAATAAACTAGGCACAGAAAGATAAACACTGCATGATTTTACACATATGTGGAATCTAAAATAGTTAATCTCATAAAAAGTACAATTAAAATCTTCATGCTAGTCAAAGATTCAATCAAATGACTATCAAGATCCCAATTACATTTTTACAGAAATAGAAAAAAACAATCCTACAATCTACATGGAATTGGTAGAATGCCAAATAGCGAAAACAATCTTGAGAAAGAAGAATAAAGCTGGAGGCCTCACACATTCCGATTTCAAAACAAAATATAAAGGTACAGTAATCAAAATGATATGGTACCAGCATACAGACATATATACTAATGGAACAGAATAAAGAATTCAGAAATAAACCCACATATATTAGCTGTTGGGAAATCACCTAATATTCGGTGTTGGGAAAACTGGATATTCTCATTCAAAAAATGAATTTGCATGCTTAGCTCACAATAAATTCAAAATGGATTGAAGACTTACATATAAGACCTCAAAAATTAAAATTAGAACTACTGTATGATCTAGTAATCTCACTTTTTGTTACTTACCACCCAAAAATCGAAATCAGGGTCAAAGAGATTTATGCATTTGTGTGTTCATTGTAGCTAATGTTCACACTTTTCACAATAGCCAAGAGTTGGAAACAACCTTCATCCACAGATATAGACAAATGGATAAAGAAAATTTGGCTGCGCACAGTGGCTCATGCCTGTAATCCCAGCACTTTGGGAGGCTGAGGCCAGTGGATCACTTGAGGCCAGGAGTTTGAGATCGCCTGTCCAACATGGTGAAACCCTGTCTCTACTAAAAATACAAAAACTAGCCAGGTGTGGTGGCACACACCTGTAATCCCAGCTACTCAAGTGGCTGAGGCAGAGAATTACTCGAGCCTGGGAGGTGGAGTTTGCAGTAAGTAGAGGTCGCACCGCTGCACTCCAGGCTGGGTGCCAGAGCGAGACACTGTCTTAAAAAAAAAAAAAAAAAGGAAAAAATGTGGTATATATATAGAATGAAATATTATTCAGCTATCACAAAGGAAATTCTGTTATATCCTACCAACAGGAATCAACCTTGAGACATTATGCTAAGTGAAGTAAGCTGGACACAGAAAGCCAAATACTGCATGATTCTACTTACAAGAAGCATCTAAAGTAATTAAACTAATAAAAGCAGAAAGTAGAATGGTGGTTGCCAGGGGCTGGGATGAGGGGGAAATGGGAGTTATTGTTTGATGGGTATTAAGTTCCAGTGATGCAAGATAAAAAAAGTTCTAGAGATCTTCAGCACAACATTTTGCTTAGAGTTAATAATACTGTAAAACTTTACTTAAAATTTTATTGAGGGTAGAACTCACATTTTTTAACCAAAACTAAAAAAGAAAAAATATATTTAAATAAATCATGTTTTTTCAATATATATTTTGTTATTAAATACTTAGAGTATTTTATTTACACTAGTAATCTAAAAAAATGTAATTTTTTCTTAATAATGGCATTACCTTAAAGTCAAAGACAATTGCTTCATTTTATGACAAATATTTCCTTGCTAACAAAAATTGTTTCTTATAAGTATGTCTTATAAGTATTTCTACTATTGTTTTAAATAATTGCTCCTTTCTCAATTGAATATTTTGTATATTGTATAGTTTGAATCTAAAATGATTATTTCTTTTAGCTTGATTTTCTAGTTTGTAAACAATGCTTAAAGATTGGCTCTAGCGCAATATAAAGTTTTAAGTGCAACATTAAATCTTCAAGAAAATCATATCATTTTGTTCAGTGTTTGTTGACAATTCTAAGAAATATGTGCCTTCTCACCTTAATATATGATATCAATAGTAAAATATGAATATGCCATCAACTGTGTGTACAGTAGACAGGTGGTTTATTCTATGATTATAATTTAAACACATTTTTCTCTTTTCAAAGGATTTTCTAATAAATCTACCCAAATTCAAATTTGTCTTAATACACTTTATTTAGCTAATACTTACTGACAACTATTTTCAAGCAACAATTTTGTTGCTGTTTATACAATGGTGAATTAGTTCAAATGGGTGTCTTCCTTCTTTGTAATTATTGATGAAGTAGGGATAAATTCTGATTCAAAGGCAATTATAATAAAAATTATGATAGGAAAGTAAAGAAAAGACAGTAAACTCTTGTGAAAGTATCTTTAAGGTACAGAAAGATGAGATTCTGCAAGGCATTTTAAGATCTATTAAAGATAATTATTTTATTTCTAGAACATAAGGTTCTAGCATTAAAACACATTTGAAAGAAACCTTTTTTTCTTTTTCTTTCTGCTTTTTTTGCTTTTGTTTTTGTTTTGTTTTGTTTTAAACGGAGTTTTGCTCTTGTTGCACAGGTTGGAGTGCAATGGTACGATCTTGGCTCACTTCAACCTCTGCCTCCCAGTTTCAAGCGACTCTCCTGCCTTAGCCTCACAAGTACCTGGGATTACAGGCACCCGCCGCATGCTCAGCTAATTTTTATATTTTTACTTTGACAGGGTCTCACCATGTTGGCCAGGCTGGTCTTGAACTCCTGACCTCAGGTGACCCACCCACCTCAGGCTCCCAAAGTGCTGGGATTACAGGCGCGAGCCACCGCGCCTGACTGGGAAACCTTTTTTTTTTTTTTGTCATTTAGGTAAGTAAGGAATAACGACCACCTAAATTATGTTGCATGAATTTGGTATAAAGAAACAGAGAACTCACGAGGGAGAGCCAAGATGGCCGAATAGGAACAGCTCCGGTCTACAGCTACCAGCGTGAGCGATGCAGAAGACGGGTGATTTCTGCATTTCCATCTGAGGTACCAGGTTCATCTCACTAGGGAGCGCCAGACAGTGGGCGCAGGTCAGTGGGTGCGCGCACCGTGCACGAGCCGAAGCAGGGTGAGGCATTACCTCACTGGGGAAGCGCAAGGGGTCAGGGAGTTCCCTTTCCGAGTCAAAGAAAGGGGTGATGGACGCACCTGGAAAATAGGGTCACTCCCACCCGAATACTGCGCTTTTCTGACGGGCTTAAAAAATGGCGCACCACGAGACTATATCCCACACCTGGCTCGGAGGGTCCTACGCCCACGGAGTCTTGCTGATTGCTAGCACAGCAGTCTGAGATCAAACTGCAAGGCGGCAGCCAGGCTGGGGGAGGGACGCCCGCCATTGCCCAGGCTTGATTAAGTAAACAAAGCAGCCGGGAAGCTCGAACTGGGTGGAGCCCACCACAGCTCAAGGAGGCCTGCCTGCCTCTGTAGGCTCCACCTCTGGGGGCAGGGCACAGACAAAAAGACAGCAGTAACCTCTGCAGACTTAAATGTCCCTGTCTGACAGCTTTGAAGAGAGCAGTCTCAGCATGCAGCTGGGGATCTGAGAACGGGCAGACTGCCTCCTCAAGTGGGTCCCTGACCCCTGACCCCCGAGCAGCCTAACTGGGAGGCACCCCCCAGCAGGGACACACTGACACCTCACACGGCAGGGTATTCCAACAGACCTGCAGCTGAGGGTCCTCTCTGTTAGAAGGAAAACTAACAAACAGAAAGGACATCCACACAAAAAACCCATCTGTACATCACCATCATCAAAGACCAAAAGTAGATAAAACCACAAAGATGGGGAAAAAACAGAACAGAAAAACTGGAAACTCTAAAAAGCAGAGCGCCTCTCCTCCTCCAAAGGAACGCAGTTCCTCACCAGCAACGGAACAAAGCTGGATGGAAAATGACTTTGATGAGCTGAGAGAAGAAGGCTTCAGACGATCAAATTACTCTGAGCTACGGGACATTCAAACCAAAGGCAAAGAAGTTGAAAACTTTGAAAAAAATTTAGAAGAATGTCTAACTAGAATAACCAATACAGAGAAGTGCTTAAAGGAGCTGATGGAGCTGAAAACCAAGGCTCGAGAACTACATGAAGAATGCAGAAGACTCAGGAGCCGATGCGATCAACTGGAAGAAAGGGTATCAGCGATGGAAGATGAAATGAATGAAATGAAGTGAGAAGGGACGTTTAGAGAAAAAAGAATAAAAAGAAACGAGCAAAGCCTCCAAGAAATATGGGACTATGTGAAAAGACCAAATTTACGTCTGATTGGTGTACCTGAAAGTGACGGGGAGAATGGAACCAAGTTGGAAAACACTCTGCAGGATATTATCCAGGAGAACTTCCCCAATCTAGCAAGGCGGGCCAATGTTCAGATTCAGGAAATACAGAGAATGCCACAAAGATACTCCTCGAGAAGAGCAACTCCAAGACACATAATTGTCAGATTCACCAAAGTTGAAATGAAGGAAAAAATGTTAAGGGCAGCCAGAGAGAAAGGTCGGGTTACCCTCAAAGGGAAGCCCATCAGACTAACAGTGGATCTCTCAGCAGAAACCCTACAAGCCAGAAGAGAGTGGGGGCCAATATTCAACATTCTTAAAGAAAAGAATTTTCAACCCAGAATTTCATATCCAGCCAAACTAAGCTTCATAAGTGAAGGAGAAATAAAATACTTTATAGACAAGCAAATGCTGAGAGATTTTGTCACCACCAGGCCTGCCCTAAAAGAGCTCCTGAAGGAAGCGCTAAACATGGAAAGGAACAACCGGTACCAGCCGCTGCAAAATCATGCCAAAATGTAAAGACCATCGAGACTAGGAAGAAACTGCGTCAACTAAAGACCAAAATAACCAGCAAACATCATAATGACAGGATCAAATTCACACATAACAATATTAACTTTAAATGTGAATGGACTAAATGCTCCAATTAAAAGACACAGACTGGCAAATTGGATAAAGAGTCAAGACCCATCAGTGTGCTGTATTCAGGAAACCCATCTCACGTGCAGAGACACACATAGGCTCAAAATAAAAGGATGGAGGAAGATCTACCAAGCAAATGGAAAACAAAAAAAGGCAGGGGTTGCAATCCTAGTCTCTGATAAAACAGACTTTAAACCAACAAAGATCAAAAGAGACAAAGAAGGCCATTACATAATGGTAAAGGGATCAAATCAACAAGAAGAGCTAACTATCCTAAATATATATGCACCCAATACAGGAGCACCCAGATTCATAAAGCAAGTCCTGAGTGACCTACAAAGAGACTTAGACCCCCACACATTAATAATGGGAGACTTTAACACCCCACTGTCAACATTAGACAGATCAATGAGACAGAAAGTCAACAAGGATACCCAGGAATTGAACTCAGGTCTGTACCAAGCGGACCTGATAGACATCTACAGAACTCTCCACCCCAAATCAACAGAATATACATTTTTTTCAGCACCACACCACACCTATTCCAAAATTGACCACATACTTGGAAGTAAAGCTCTCCTCAGCAAATGCAAAAGAACAGAAATTATAACAAACTATCTCTCAGACCACAGTGCAATCAAACTAGAACTCAGGATTAAGAATCTCACTCAAAACCGCTCAACTACATGGAAACTGAACAAGCTGTTCCTGAATGACTACTGGGTACATAACAAAATGAAGGCAGAAATAAAGATGTTCTTTGAAACCAACGAGAACAAAGACACAACATACCAGAATCTCTGGGACTCATTCAAAGCAGTGTATAGAGGGAAATTTATAGCACTAAATGCCCACAAGAGAAAGCAGGAAAGATCCAAAATTGACACCCTAACATCACAATTAAAAGAACTAGAAAAGCAAGAGCAAACACATTCAAAAGCTAGCAGAAGGCAAGAAATAACTAAAATCAGAGCAGAACTGAAGGAAATAGAGACACAAAAAACCCTTCAAAAAATTAATGAATCCAGGAGCTGGTTTTTTGAAAGGATCAACAAAATTGATAGACCACTAGCAAGACTAATAAAGAAAAAAAGAGAGATGAATCAAATAGACGCAATAAAAAATGATAAAGGGGATATCACCACCGATCCCACAGAAATACAAACTACCATCAGAGAATACTACAAACACCTCTACGCAAATAAACTAGAAAATCTAGAAGAAATGGATAAATTCCTCGACACATACACTCTCCCAAGACTAAATCAGGAAGAAGTTGAATCTCTGAATAGACCAATAACAGGATTTGAAATTGTGGCAATAATCAATAGCTTACCAACCAAAAAGTCCAGGACCAGATGGATTCACAGCGGAATTCTACCAGATGTACAAGGAGGAACTGGTACCATTCCTTCTGAAACTATTCCAATCAATAGAAAAAGAGGGAATCCTCCCTAACTCATTTTATGGGGCCAGCATCATTCTGATACCAAAGCCAGGCAGAGACACAACAAAAAAGGAGAATCTTAGACCAATATCCTTGATGAACATTGATGCAAAAATCCTCAATAAAATACTGGCAAAACGAATCCAGCAGCACGTCAAAAAGCTTATCCACCATGATCAAGTGGGCTTCCTCCCTGGGATGCAAGGCTGGTTCAATATACACAAATCAATAAATGTAATCCAGCATATAAACAGAGCCAAAGACAAAAAACACATGATTATCTCAATAGATGCAGGAAAAGCCTTTGACAAAATTCAACAACCCTTCATGCTAAAAACTCTCAATAAATTAGGTATTGATGGGACATATTTCAAAATAATAAGAGCTATCTATGACAAACCCACAGCCAATATCATACTGAATGGGCAAAAACTGGAAGCATTCCCTTTGAAAACTGGCACAAGACAGGGATGCCCTCTCTCACCACTCCTATTCAACATAGTGTTAGATGTTCTGACCAGGGTAATTAGGCAGGAGAAGGAAATAAAGGGTATTCAATTAGGAAAAGAGGAAGTCAAATTGTCCCTGTTTGCAGACGACATGATTGTATATCTAGAAAACCCCATTGTCTCAGCCCAAAATCTCCTTAAGCTGATAAGCAACTTCAGCAAAGTCTCAGGATACAAAATCAATGTACAAAAATCACAAGCATTCTTATACACCAACAACAGACAAACAGAGAGCCAAATCATGAGTGAACTCCCATTCACAATTGCTTCAAAGAGAATAAAATAGCTAGGAATCCAACTTACAAGGGATGTGAAGGACCTCTTCAAGGAGAACTACAAACCACTGCTCAAGGAAATAAAAGAGGATGCAAACAAATGGAAGAACATTCCATGCTCATGGGTAGGAAGAATCAATATCATGAAAATGGCCATACTGCCCAAGATAATTTACAGATTCAATGCCATCCCCGTCAAGCTACCAATGCCTTTCTTCACAGAATTGGAAAAAACTACTTTAAAGTTCATATGGAACCAAAAAAGAGCCCGCATCGCCAAGTCAATCCTAAGCCAAAAGAACAAAGCTGGAGGCATCACACTACCTGACTTCAAACTATACTACAAGGCTACAGTAACCAAAACAGCATGGTACTGGTACCAAAACAGAGATATAGATCAATGGAACAGAACAGAGCCCTCAGAAATAATGCCGCATATCTACAACTATCTGATCTTTGACAAACCTGAGAAAAACAAGCAATGGGGAAAGGATTCCCTATTTAATAAATGGTGCTGGGAAAACTGGCTAGCCATATGTAGAAAGCTGAAACTGGATCCCTTCCTTACACCTTATACAAAAATCAATTCAAGATGGATTAAAGACTTAAACGTTAGACCTAAAACCATAAAAACCCTAGAAGAAAACCTAGGCATTACCATTCAGGACATAGGCATGGGCAAGGACTTCATGTCTAAAACACCAAAAGCAATGGCAACAAAAGACAAAATTGACAAATGGGATCTAATTAAACTAAAGAGCTTCTGCACAGCAAAAGAAACTACCATCAGAGTGAACAGGCAACCTACAAAATGGGAGAAAATTTTCGTAACCTACTCATCTGACAAAGGGCTAATATCCAGAATCTACAATGAATTCAAACAAATTTACAAGAAAAAAACAAACAACCCCATCAAAAAGTGGGCGAAGGACATGAACAGACACTTCTCAAAAGAAGACATTTCTGCAGCCAACAGACACATGAAAAAATGCTCATCATCACTGGCCATCAGAGAAATGCAAATCAAAACCACAATGAGATACCATCTCACACCAGTTAGGATGGCAATCATTAAAAAGTCAGGAAACAACAGGTGCTGGAGAGGATGTGGAGAAATAGGAACACTTTTACACTGTTGGTGGGACTGTAAACTAGTTCAACCATTGTGGAAGTCAGTGTGGCGATTCCTCAGGGATCTAGAACTGGAAATACCATTTGACCCAGCCATCCCACTACTGGGTATATACCCAAAGGACTGTAAATCATGCTGCTATAAAGACACATGCACACGTATGTTTATTGCAGCATTATTCACAATAGCAAAGACTTGGAACCAACCCAAGTGTCCAACAATGATAGACTGGATTAAGAAAATGTGGCACATATATACCATGGAATAATATGCAGCCATAAAAAATGATGAGTTCATGTCCTTTGTAGGGACATGGATGAAATTGGAAATCATCATTCTCAGAAACTATCGCAAGAACAAAAAACCAAACACCGCATATTCTCACTCATAGGTGGGAACTGAACAATGAGAACACATGGACACAGGAAGGGGAACATCACACTCTGGAGACTGTTGTGGCGTGGGGGGAGAGGGGAGGTATGGCATTGGGAGATATACCTAATGCTAGATGATGAGTTGGTGGGTGCAGCGCACCAGCATGGCACATGTATACATATGTAACTAACCTGCACATTGTGCACATGTACCCTAAAACTTAAAGTATAATAATAAAAAAAAATAATAATTAAAAAAAAGAAACAGAAAACATGAAGAGAGAAATAAAAAATAACTATGACTTAATCAATGAATGGTTGGATTGAGGGACAATGAAAATGAAAAACTCTAGGATAGCACTTGGATTTATGGTGGGAATATCTTGGTCTATTTGTGCGCTTTTGCATGACACAGGGGGATGACCTGGTTGAAGAATGAGAAGAGACTACGGGTTCAGTTTTAGATCTGATATTAAAGTATAGAAAGAGCCCTTTGTAGCAACCTTGCTTCAGTGGATGGAGGATTCCACAGTTTAAAAGTTTATTCATCTATAAATCCATGTGTTTAAATAAGCTTACCAGGAAGTTAGGGTATGCAGCATACTAAAAGGTAAATTACAATTTAGATAAAATCAGGGAAGAAAGTAAAGTGTTGAGATTCCCTCAAGTCTTTACTTGATGTTGATATTATATGAAATATAATATCATATTTATTTTATAATTAAAGGAAATGATATCTAAAACATAATGATGTTGATATTATGTGATATTATATTTACTTTTATGTTGATATTATGTGAAAATATTTGTGTACTTATTGTTTTGAACTACATCTGTTTAAAAAGTAGAGAAAATTTCCTTTAGTATCTTAATGAGAATGGATAAGTTGTAATTTTGTCATCACTTTAATCATCTTCAATATGAAAGAAGAGATGGGTTACACCAACAAGAAGCATAGACTTTATTGTATCCTTATTGTTGACAATACAGGAATCTTTGGATCTCTCTCTCAAAAATCAGGATAGTGGATTTCTCCAAATTTACTGTGAATTTTGTATAAACAATGCAAGTATCATATGATTTTACTTATTTTGAGAGAAATAAAGAGAAACTTTATTGAAAATTATTTCTGCCCATTATCTGTCCCTAAGTGTTTTGATCACTCTCTGATTTATTTCAGTAAACTATTATGAGGTTAATAAGGAAAAGGGAACCTCCTGAAATGTAGAAAAAATTTACCTAATAAAATGAGGGATATATAAAGGGCAATATTTTTTAGATACATGTTTCAGATGCTTGGGAATAATACCAGGCCATAATATAGATAATGGTAAATAAATAATTTAAACCATGAGAGGGGATAATATTTCCCATGGAGAGTGTGTTGAGTGATAAAAGAGAGTATTATAGGAGATAATTCTCAAAACTATGAGTTTAATGAACGAGTGTAGGAAGAATACTATATATTAGAGACTTAGATGTTCTGACCATACTGTGATATTAAAAAATAAGAAAGAAAAAAAAAAGGAGAAGATTTAGTGGTCAACAGTGCCAAATGCTGCTGAGAAAAAATGCATAAACTCCAGAGTGCAACTGATATTGTACGTTTAAATGTAAAAGAATAGACAGAAACAGTTATTTTTGCTAAAGGATATAACTTTGCAGGTCTTGTGACAAGGAAATGAGATTGCTCCATTATTTAACTGATATGTTAACTGTTAAATATATGCAAGGCCATCTGTGACGGTTAAGGTTTAATATATCTGGAGATATATAGAGAAGTTTCATGAAGACATGGTAAAATTTACTACAACTATATTTGATTTTTCTTGTTTTTAAGTTAAAGAAAATAAGTGATTATTGCTTTCTTTTCTAATAAGGAATTTGAGTCATGAGAAGGTTATATAGCTCCTCCAATGTGACATGGCCAGTAAGAGGTGTATTCTGTGTTCTTTACTAATATTCTGTAGGAATAAAAAGACATTTTCTAATGTGGGGGTTTTATGGAGGTTGATGTAAGTTAGTGGAGAGAAATTGGGTGGCGAATTAGATAAATCAGGATCTAGTCGTCACATTTTATTATGCTGCTTTGTGATCTTGTGAGACCAAACTGCTGGATCATGTTAACTTACTTGGATATCATTTCCTTTAATTATAAAATAAACCACTTAGATTAGATTGTTTGTAAGGTCACTTTTGATTTTATAATTTTTGTGAGACTGTGATATAAAGGTCATAGGGTGCTTTTATTTTTTAAAGTATTGTCTCCTAGGATAACAGAATTAAGTAGTAAGAAGGCTGTCAGTTATTACATCTATCCTTCTACAATTTCTCCTGCGAATTGCTTTGATTGTTAACAAGATGATCTCTGTAATAAAATGCCTCTCTTTCCTAAGTATTGTTCAAAGTTATAATAACTTACATGAATTAACCGGCTTTTGGAAAGGTCACTTTCCCAGTAAATGGCAAATAAAAAAAAAGGTTAATAAAATGATTCAGAGTCATTTATTGTTACTTACAAGGGTTACTCTGTCTGACACCTATATGTACATAATTATAGCCAAATCTCTAAAATTGTACAAAAAGCTTTTTGCCTTTTTATTCCCCAGTCAGCAGAGCAAAGATTATATCTAACTGCCGCATTTTCACATATTTGAAAGTAACCTCTCTCCTCATAAATGTGCAACTGCTCTGGCTGGAAACAACTGTGCTGCTGCTAGATGTTTTCTGCCTACAGAAGTTTGATATGTAATAGCAAAAAAATATAGAGTGATTTTCACATCGGGAAGGAGCATCTAGCCTGGGGTTGGGAGTGGGCTGAAAAATAGGAACCTATTATAATAAATAGGTAAAGAGAGAAACACACAAACAGCAGCATGATTTATATCAGGGCCAGTAAATAGATACAATATTTAGAATCCAATTGAAAGAAGACAGAAGGTAATGTTACTGCTTTTTATGTTTGCTACTTGGGTATTTGCATTAGAAGCATGGTCAGGGACATGAATAACATGCATATGTGAATTTCTATTATAATCCCTGGATATGACTTGGAGCTAAATTTGAGGGGGCTCTTCAGGTTAATTCTTACTGTATTCAGAAGAAAAATATTGTTGGATCCTAGCTTGAAATAAACTATTTATTTAGGATTTGGATATTTTTATAGACCCCCCCCCAAATTGTTACAGAAGTTCAGTCTGCAGCATTTTTGCAAGAGACTTTTATTAGTTGATGGAGAATCCTTATCTTTGGGAAAAAAAATTAAAGTTATGTAATATGGATCCAAAGAAAAGCCTCAAGAGGCAGAGTGATGGAACAAGCTTGAATACCACCTCATGTCAGCCATCCTGTTGTACTGGGGAGTGGGCAGAGGTGACAATAGAGAGAGAAAAAAGAGAAGATAGTGCACAGAAGAAATGAGAAAGAGAGAGAGAGAGACCCTAACATATCCCAAAGTTTAATTATATAGTAGGAACTAGGACTAAAGACAGATAGGACCCACCTGAAGGTGTTCACAGTGAATACTGTGCAAGACTGATCAATAAAGAAATGGAAAATCTGTGATCAGTTTTGTTGTGGGAACAAGCAGTTACACAATCCAGACTGAACAAAATCAGATATAATACTAGCATGACTTCTGAGACTTGTGTGAGAACTATTCTGCCAAAATGTGGAGTATTTTTGGATTCAAACAGTAAAACTCCCAACTGAATTTTCTTCTCCCTTCTCTAACACCTAATTTATAGCAACTATACAAGAAAATGGAGATTATTCTAGTTTAATAAGTAAAGACACAGAATATTACACAGCTGAGAATAAAGAAGCAGCTCCTAGACTATTCTTCACGTTGGAGCTTATACTGATTAGTCAATACAATACTCAGAATCCTCTCACACACACAACATTAGTAAATCTGAAATCTGAGTGGTTATCTGTATTTTTTTCCTATTTACAAGCTCTAAGGAAAAATGAATGAAACAGAAAAACAAAGAATGTGGACAATGAAGATCATTTCAGTATTATAGAATGAAATCAGAAAATGATTTAAGTCCACCCACCAAATAATTAGAATGAATACTAGTACAAAAGTCTCAGCAAAGTCTTAGAAGTAAGGGAAGCACAAAGGAATAGAATACACTACTTTCCCTAAGTTTTCTTTCATCCTCTGCTATTTCCTCAGGCAACAGAAAATTGAGAGAATAAGAAAACACTGTTCTTAAACCATAACTTGGGGTACATTCTCAGATACTACAGGAAGAGTTAAATCTGAGCAAGAGGAAAATAAACAACTATTCATGCATTCCATGGGAAGAAAGTCACACACTCTCCAAACAATAAATAAAATGAAACAGACAGAAACATAGGTCAATAAAGGGAAGATAATTCTACATGATTGCGTGATACAGAGAGTTATTTAATTAGAACATGAACTTAATATAAAGAGCAATTAGAAGAAATAATAAAACAGCAGAAAGAGATAAGAAGAGAGATTACAAAAAGAACAAGTAGAAGACCAAAACAACACGACTATGCAATTATTAAATAAATTGAAAATACCACTACAATTAAATCACATAGGAAAAGATTAAGATAATAAATAGCATACACATAAAACTGACAAAAATGTTAATGCATTTAGTGATATCATCCGACATAAATGTAATTGTTGCTTATGTTAGGGAATCAAGAAATGAAACAGATCTACTCGAAGATATAATCCAGAGAACTTCTAGGGTATAATTTAAAAAAATAATTTGCAGACATAAGAACCCTCTGAGTTCCATAGTGAATGGAGATATGTACACCTATAGTTTTTAATGACTAAAGACTAATTTCTCAAATATATGTACTAAAAACAAGAAAAAATAGAAGATGTGTGCCTAAGGAGGAGGGTATGGTAGAAATATTTCAGCTTGACTTAAAATTACTTAACAATATTAAATGAAAGAAAATCAAAGAAGGCTTATAAATTTCTGAAGAAACGTATGACTTCATATTAATATATGTCTCTTCCCTGTGCTGGCTTCCCTGGGTGGAGTGTATGTCATCCCTCCCTTGCACAAGAGGGCAAGAGATGTAGTGGCAAATCTGAACATCAACTATACAAGGGCTGGCATTACTACTCCTTCCCTCTTTATTTAGCTGAAATGCGGGAAGGTTACCTTGCTTGAGTGAGAGGGCATGTAGAGTGTCATTGAGGCATAAGATACATGAGCAAAAAGCCATCTCAGCTGTTCCAACCTTGGCAGTTGGAATCATTTCAGATAAAGCTCTGGATATTCTAGAAAAGAGATCAAGTATCCTACCAGCCTCTTTCTGCATTTCTATTCCACAAAATGGTGAGAAAAAATAAAAGGTTTGCTATTTTAAGCCAAGAAGTCGTAGGGTTTTTAATGCAGTCGTAGATATTTAAGACAACGTATGTAATCAAAATATCATTTTAAAATAAGAGCAACAAATAGATATTTGCAAATATATCCTTTTAAATGAAGGAATGAAGTGCTAATTAATAATCCTTGGTAAAATTACTATCCAATCAAGATTGAATTAAAGTTTTTTAAAATAAAAAAGAGTGTTAAGAGCTAGTTATGAGCATTTAATTCATTCAAAAATAATGATGCTACTGAAAACTTACTTCTGGATATAAAACAGAATTATATGAACTTGGGTAATGTGAAAATAATCACATAACTAAGCAAAATTGAGGGCAGAGAAAATTGGAGAACTAGGCAATTGCTAATATCATTTCTTAGTAAAGAGGCAAACCACAGAGCTTACAAGAGCCATCTTAATGCCTTTGAAAAGTTCTTAACCTTAGTGAACTCTGTCAGAAAGTAGTATTATTTATGTACTACACACATTTGTTTCAATATCAACAATTCTCTCGTTTTCATTTTAACTTCTTATGTAAAAATTTAGCAAACATAAATTGAGTTATTATATTCAAAATATCCATAGCATAATTCTATTTTTAGAAATGTTTCATTTTCACATGCATATATACATCAAATAATGTCTCTAGTTGCATTATTCAATACAGTAGCCACAAGCCATACAAGGCTATTTAAACTAAAATTAATAAAATTAAGTGAGATTAGAAATGCAGTTTTTTAGTTTCACTAACCACATTTAAGTGCTTAATAGTCATATTTGGCTATTATGACTGGCCACTATATTGTAAATGTAGATATAAACTGAAGTCCACATAATGTTAACAGTGATTACTTATATTAAAATTTGCCTTTTAAAATATTTTACTTCTTTTCATGTATTTTCTAAGTTATTTGAATATTTTTTAGCATGCTTGTGTCATTTTTTAACAAAAAGAACTTACGTTAATTCTGAATGATGAAGATATAGAAGGTTATCATTTATACTTTATACCTTTAGTATTTTAAACATTAAAATAAATAAAACATACAATGTATTGAAATTCTCTGTACTTTCTGTTCAGTTTAGCTGCGAACCTAAAACTGCTATAAAGTCTATTACAGACACAATGTAAAAATAGTTGAGAACATATTCTTGGTAATAGTCTTTGAAAAACTTGAAGGTAAGAAAGCTCATGGTGGAAATGGGAATTTATAAGTAGTTTGGCGTATTTGTCCTATTGAGTGTGATTATAGTTAAGACGTAGAGCTAGGCAGGAGTTCTTGAAGGGCCCTATGTAATTGCTAAAGTATTTGAACTTTATCTTAACTATGAGAAAAACAGTGAGTGAAACATGATGACTAGAATTCTGCTACTTGAGAAGTTGGGTTAATGATGGAGCACAGATTACTGTACAGATCCATCAAGAACTCCAGAGACCTCTGTCCAGTCCTACTTTAGCAATATCAGCTTGGTTATGAGTTTTACCAAATCAGTACAGCTTCAGTGCAGTCTCTGGCTAGTGCAGCTTATCTTTAGTAACAGCAGCAGCAATAGGAATAGGAGACCCAACCTTGGTCAGCACCAGGGAGCTTGGCATTAAATCTTCTCAGACCACAAAAGCTGGAGGGAAGAAAAATGGCAATTGTCATTCACTATGTGAGGGGGCTGATTATTAGTGCCACTGAGGGACCACTGAGGATAGACTGGAAATGGAGTTGAGAGTGTATTTTGAATAATGGCTGACAGTTTTATAAGAAATCACTATGACAAAGATAAAGTAACAATTTTTATGCTTCTATTTTGAACATAAATTTTACCTCCAGATTTTTGTAATCTGCAATAGGACAAAATATATCAAATGATATAAGCCTTAGTTTTTGCTTTTGTTTTTTTATCTTGTAGTGTAATGGGAAAAATCAATTGTTTATTAAAAAGGGTTATAAAACACCACAGTCCTTTCCAAAGTATGACAGAATTTGGGTTCTCTTGCTCTATTAGTCCCCTCTGGTTGATCCAGTCTTCCTTCATGGATTTCGAACTCCCTTGGGCTATGGTAAGGAAAGAAGAAGCCATCGACTTTTATCTGCATATGTTTTATCTCTGCCTGTGAGAATTCTGCAATTTTCCAGTCTATGATTTTTGCCAAGTAGTGATACTGTTCAGTTGAATGTCCCTTTACAGTCTCATCACTGAGCTTTTCTGTATACAGTAGATTCCCTCTCTGAAAGACACCACTGGGCTGTGTGCTCAGTACTTCTTACCAACGATTTTTTCTGTTGATATTTTATTACATTTATTGTTACTATTATTATATATTTTTTGTTGTTAAAGGCTAGTGTACTTAGGAAAGGAATATAGTTTACACATAAATATATTTTCCTAATTGTTCTCATGTGAACATGTGCATTAACATTGTCAGCAGTATTATTTTTGAATATAAAATATGGGTTATATTGCTTTGAGTGAGTTGGAATTTGTGTTTCTTACTCTGCTAGATTAAAACCACTGGCCATTTTGTGTGTTCTTGGATCAAGCACTTATTTTAGTACATGAGTAATCACACTAATAATGATAATAACAACAATAGCAACTACATACAAAGCAGCTTTAAAGACAGAAAAGGAAGTGCAATGTAGCAACTCTCACATTTCCTTTTACCAGCAATAAAAATCATTTGGGAAAAAGAAAGAAGTGAAAAAAAAACAGGCAAAGTTAGTTTCAGAGTGCTGAGATAGTCTGTATTTTAGAACGTATTGATTTACAATGTCAGTATTATGAAATGCTTTTTTGATTTCCAATGGCCTGCTATCATACAGCCTTATTTTTCTGTAATTGACACATGAAAAATATAACTTTTATATTTGTTGCATTAAATACACACATGAGGCAAGTATTCTAAGCTTGGATACCTCTATAGACTTAATGATTTAGTGCTGCAAAATGTTTAAAGATACTTTGAATAAATATTGATTCTTGGAACTCAGCCAATCTCTGAAAAGAGTATTGTTAAGACTTGACAGTGAACTGAAAAATATATATTTCTCTTTAACCCCAAAATCTACTCACAGAGTAGTAAGTAAAAGAACAGTATTAAAAATGACTTGGAATTAAATGTTTAAAATTTCTTTTATTTTACCATCTCTTTAGCATTCACTATAAAAGTCAACCTGCCCATTACTCCAAATAAAATGCAAGAAGGGGAAATCATAAAGGTTTTTGTAACTGGAAAATACAGAAATTTTGTATGTCTAGTGGAAAATAACAAATCTTCCATTTTTGTTAGATTATGTTACTTTTAGCCTCAACTCTGCATTATTTGGGACTAACTATGCTGAATGCTGCCAAGTCCAAATTTACAGGTAGCAATATGACTAAGTGTAAAGAACTATCCTAAAGAAGTACTGCAGAGTCCTTGTGCACTTGCTGTCCTGCTCCTACCCTAGTCAGGGTAAGAAGCAAATTATGGATTCATTTATAAAGTCAAATAGACCTGATTGCAAATCTTACCTTTGCTGCTCCATTGCTATGTAATCTCAAATGATATCTTTGATATTTATAAGTTCGTTTCTTCTTTCTATCAAAGAAAACAAAAAATAAAAGCATTTATTTAAATTATTATTCGATTGTCCCTAATTCAGTTGAGAATTTTGTATTAAACTTACAAGATTCAGTGTAGCAAATGATGAGATTTATATATTACTTGGAATTTTTTCAACTTTATAGCTCAGAACACAGATTCTATCCCTGCATTAACTCTGCCTCAATGTTAATTATTGTTAAGACAATTGCATTGAGAAAGGCCGTAAGAACATCATTTGTTTTAAGTTCAACAGGAGAAAATATGGTGATTAATTAGTGATATTCAAGGCTGGAGGAGGGCTGTGAATGCTGTGAATTTGCTAGACTTCTAAACCATCAATCATGGCCTTAGTATGTTTTTATGGACAACATCTGATATCCTATTAATATTACCAGGATTGGTAGCATACAGTAAGAAAAAAATGATAAATATGAAACCAGAAGGCTTAGATATATGGAGAAATATGCTTACTAGATTTTCAACTTTGGATATATTCAAATTCTTCCTAGTCCTTTTGCTTTATGTCTACAATTATATCAAAAATACCAATTTATAATACTGTTATGAGATGTAAATAGAATAATTTTA
Organism: Homo sapiens; assembly: GCF_000001405.40. NCBI lineage: Eukaryota > Metazoa > Chordata > Mammalia > Primates > Hominidae > Homo > Homo sapiens. Next base: position 135,462,848 of record NC_000004.12, read on the forward strand.
GTGAAAGCACTCTAACAATTATATTTTGTTATAATGAATTATAATGAATATGTAATGTCTCATATTCATTATTTTACTATATATCATATTTAGACAATGCATCTGATTTAATATGAGACATACATTTGGGTTGGGTTTTTCCAATTGGTAAATGTAGGCTATTTCAGTGAGTTGCAAAGTCTTTTCTTTAGTTCTTTTAAAATCCCTTCTTTCCAAAATCATTAATGTAGTTTAATAAAAATTTTCTATATTATAATGGAATAGAAAACACAAACCATTATTCTGCACCTGAATTGTGATGATGATAGTAGGCATGGTTACTATTAAATTGATGTCAGATATTTATATGCACATGCTCTTATTCTCAAAGAAATTGTTTTTTCCTCATTTTTTATTTAATTGATTATCAAAAGCATTTAATATTCAGGTAATTGATTTTCAAGCTCCTTAATTTCATGAGTGAGGGAATAAATTATTTTGTATGTGAAAATCTGTGCCCAATGTCTTCAAGGTCATATAGAAAGAATACATTTTAATTCTGTTAAAACATATGAGTAAATTGGCACCAATACTTAAACTTTAAAAGGTTGACTAAACCTAGAGTTTCCTCTCACAGTTTTTTTTTCTTAAGAATTTAGAATTGCTTCCTCTATTTTTTTTTTTTGCCCTCTAAACCTAATTCATTAACAAGTAGCAACTTTTACCTCCTAAATATCTCTTCATTTCTTTCTTTCTATATTTAAAACCAGTGACCTGATCCTCAAATTACTAACATTTTTCCCTTATTCCCCTGCAATAAGCTCCTATATTTTCAACATACCTTCTGGCCACTTTGCTAATCTCCTTTCCACAGTGAAAATTAGTTTATCATTCAAATAAATCACATCTAATCTTGACACACTTTCCTGCTGAAAATGGCATTTTATGTTTCCTCCTTATTTCTTTAGACTCATCCAGTCCTATAGTCCTTTGTTCTCTTTCCTCCATACAGTTAGGTCTCCATTCAGTTTTCATCCTTCTTTCTTTCACCAGTCTCTTTGTTCATGGTGTCACCTGTATCTGACATGTTTTTCCTTTCATCACATTAAATTCTCAGGTCAGTCATATTTTCCTCAGAGAAGCATTTTAAAAACTCAATTATTTGCCCATACCCCAATACAAGTTGTCATAGAGATATGTTTCTTTTAGTATTTTTCAATATTACAATTTTATACTAGTATATGCAAATATTTATTAATATATAGCCTTACTTAAGGATATACAATTCATGAGGGCTGAACTTTTCAGTTTTTTCAGTACGTCACTAAATCATCTTATCCTAGAACAACTGTGCATATTCTATTTTATTTACTCTGGGTGCAGTGGCTCACGCCTGTAATCCCAACAGTTTGGGAGGCCGAGGCAGGTGGATCACCCTAGGTCAGGAGTTCGAGACCAGCCTGGCCAACGTAGTGAAACCCCTCTCTACTAAATATACAAAAAAATTAGCCTGACGTGGTGGTGGCACCTGTAATCCCAGCTACTTGGGAGGCTGACGCAGAAGAATCGCTTGAACCCAGGAGGTGGAGGTGCAGTGATCCGAGATCACGCCACTGCATTTCAGCCTGGGTCTACAGAGTGTGACTCCATCTCACGTAATAAATAAATAAATAAATAAATAAATAAATAAATAAATAAATAAATAAGCACACTGAGTACTGGTATTATTTTTAATATAAAAGTTAGAAACTAGAGGCAAAAAGAAGTCAAGTAAATTGCATAAGCCACATAACTGGTTAGTGGAAGAATTAGGTTTTGAGCTGAAACCCTGGAGGACCTAGCTCCAAAAGCCTGCTAAGAATTTCTATGCCTCGTAGAGTAGATAATTGTTAAACATGGGTTAAATGAACAACTGCCCTATTTCTCAGGATAATCATAAGCTATCGTGAAATGAGTGTATATTTCTACTCATATATTCAAAAATTGAATTTTGCACAATTAATTGAACATATTTTTTAAGTTGAATAATACCAAAATATAGTCTCCAATTTTGGTGAAAATCTATTTGGTGGTTTTCACATGATACAGTGCCGACAAAAAAATGTAACTGTGTTTACATAAGTTATGTCAAAAATTATGTTATTTCTGTATGTAGGAGAAAAATTGCAAGCAAACATTCAAAAATTTTCTTACATAGTGATTAATATTCAAATGTTTAATAAAGGATTTTGATGGGGTTTTCTCACCATCTTTAGACAAAATTTTAACTAGATAATTCACTTGTTGTTTAATGTACAGCAGATCAGGTTTTGTTCCGTTTAAACTTTCATTTTGAATCATGACTTCTTTTTTCATACTGAGTGAACCTAATATGCAATAAGTTCTGCGCTGGGTGTTACGGATTCAAATAAAATAAAGCAAACACTTTACTTTCCGTGAATTTTGTTTATTGAGAGAAACAGAAAAGGTAAAATACAGTTTTAAGCTATATAAAATGAAGAAGAGTAGTGTTCCTGGAAAATTTTCAGAATCAATAAGAGTTAGGCATTTGAATACTGAAAATAAAGATTACTTTTTCCCCTTTTTAAAATTGTAGTAATAAGAATTTTTAATTGGACCTCCAAGAGTGTTTATTGTGATTATAGTATAGGATGTTCTAGATTAGATGTTGCACACAAATGTTGTGTAAGGAAATAGCAAAAAATGAAGTTAAATTTGTTGGCATTGGCCAGATCATGAAGAAGTTTGATGTTATAAGGATGGTCAACTTTTTCTTAAATGATAAGGGCATAGAAACTTGTAGGTTATGAATGATAAGTTTGTATTACTATTTTAATAATACAAATAATGTGAAGATAGTTAAGGATGAGGAGGAGTTTTCCAGTGAGAACAGCTGTTAGAAGGCTATTTTGGTCAACCAGAAATTATGAGATCTGTGCTAGGGTTGTTGCATTAGGTCAGAAAAAAAAAAGGAAGAACTAGATACAACTTATTGAAAATGGATGGTTATTGAAAATGGATGGTAGAGGAAGGGAAGAAACAAACACTTAATATTAGATTCTGAACTTTGACAATTCAGAAAACAGAGCTGTAATATTTTTCTCCATTTTATTGTCCATAGAGACTGCCTTGGAATTTGCAAATAGTAGGCTCCTCAGTTGGAAGTATTAAGACGTGCTCTCTCATATAGGTAATTTGGTTAAAAATCTCAAAATAAGTAAAACATTGAAATGAAGCCTCACAAAAGCTCCATTTAACATGTAAGCACATTGAGAAATAAAGAAAACAGTAACTTTTGTGAGTTATGTAGCTAACAAATGGCTACACTGAGATTAATTCAGATCTGTATCCATCTCTGTCCATGGAAATTAATCACTGTTGATTGATCGCTCCCTGTGTAGAGGATAAAATGCACCAGGTAAGGGGATGTTTTTATTCAGCTACTACAATAGGTGGAATTCTCATTTTTGAGTATTGTTTCCAGGAAAAGGAGGGAGAACTGCAGTGTAGAAAAGCAGATAAGGGAGTCCTCAGCAAGTCTTATGGGAGTCCTGAGAAATGATGAACAAGTCTTATTTCAAGGGTGGAGACGGTTAATTAATTCACCTAATATATAAGGGCAGTGTGATCATTTGCCATGAGCTGGCTTTTGAAACACAAAAAGATGAGGGAATTTCTCAACCATCACTGCTTTCCAGAAACATCAGGCCCAGATGAAGTTGAACATTTTCATGTTACTCAATTAAAATAATCTGTTAAAGTAGAAATAAAAAGCTATGTAGTGGAGACAAGTTAGTAGTTTACACTAATAGAAAATGACAATGTGTTTTAGTAACCCTAGCTATTAGTTACTCTACGTTTGTACATAATGCATAGTTTATTCCAATATCTCCACTTTTTTAAAAAAAATTATTTTTCCTAGGCTTAAAAATGTGTTGCCTGTTATGTGCTAGATGACTCCATCCTTCCATTCTCTAGAAAATTAAGGATCAAAATGCTCAAAACCAAAAGACACTTATTTCATATTTAATCTACAAATAAATAATAATAGCATCCAAACATGGATCACTATAGAACAGAACAGAGCACTCAGAACCTCAGGGCAAACAAAGAATTCTCTCAATCTTTCATCCCACACAGAGGATTGCTATAAGAAGTTTTGTGTGTTTTAGAACTCAAATTTCTCTGTAGTCTATTATTTTTGTCTTATCTCCACTGCAAGTATTTTAGTTATGTTTTTGAATAGTTGCCTTAGTCTTATTACTTTTATTTCAAACTTAGACTCTTCTATCCCATTCTATGTTGCCAGTTAAGTAATAATAGAAAATGTTCTTGCTTATTAAACAAAACAAAAGGAAAAAACACTTGAGTTATTTCCAATTTCTTATGCTAGAATTATAGAGTTTTACTAATGTATGGTAATATTTAAAAATATTTTACATGGGTAAAGAAGTATTTTGTGCCATGACCCTAAATAGTTTTCCTGGCCACCTCTGGCACTATATTGTCATACTCTTAGTTCATATCATTTGTGGCCTTTACTCTGGCATCCAATATACTTGACTCCCATTCCTGGCATACAAATATCTCTCTTATCCATTTAGGGAAAGCTTATGCATTCTGAAAGACCCAGCTCAATGTTAATCTTTCTTTGAAGACTATTGCTTTGAGTATAAATGTGCATGTCTTTTAATTTTCTCATGTAATCTCTTATTTAGCTCCCCATTCTCTAATCTAGGCTGTGAACTAATTGAAGGAACAGATGATGGGGGAAGGCAGTTTAAGGAGATGATTTAGGGAATACCCTCTAGAGTTAATACTGATTGGATTCCACTTTTGACCTCAGTATATATTAATTAGATAACTTTGGGCAAGTCGCTTAATATCTTCAGATTTCAAATTCCTTATGCCTAAAATGAAGAAATGGATAGTACTTATCTCATAGGCTTATAATATTTCTTAATTTTATCTAGATTAATTAGAAAAATGTTCATTATACAGGTGTAATTACCACCATCATGGTGATATTTTGTCATTTTCATCATTATTGTTATTATTTAATATTATCTTTGAATTGCTAGTACTTCATGGAGCATCTAATAATAAAAATAGTTTTTATTAATTGCTAATGATGTACCCATTGTATTCTTTTTTATTATTTATTTTTTTATTACACTTTAAGTTCTAGGATATATGTGCAGAACGTGCAGGTTTGTTACATAGGTATACATGTGCCATGGTGGTTTGCTGCACCCATCAACCTGTCATCTACATTAGGTATTTCTCCTAATGCTATCCCTCCCCTAGCTCCCCACCCCCTGACAGGCCCCAGTGTGTGATGTTCCCCTCCCTGTGTCCATGTGCTCTCATTGTTCAACTCCCACTAATGAGTGAAAACATGTGATGTTTGGTTTTCTGTCCTTGTGTTAGTTTGCTGGGAATGATGGTTTCCAGCTTATCCATGTCCCTGCAAAGGATATGAACTCATCCTTTTTTGTGGCTGCATAATATTCCATGGTATATATGTGACACATTCCTTTATCCAGTCTGTCACTGATGGGCATTTGTGTTTGTTCCACATCTTTGCTATTGTGAATAGTGCTGCAATAAACATACGTGTGCAGGTGTCTTTATAATAGAATTATTTATAATCCTTTGGGTATATAACCCGTAATGGGATTGCTGGATCAAATGGTATTTCTGGTTCTAGATCCTTGACCAACTGCCACACTGTCTTCCACAATGGTTGATCTTCCCATTTCTCCACATCCTCTTCAGCATCTGTTGTTTCCTGACTTTTTAATGATCACCATTCTAACTGGCATGAGATGGTATCTCATTGTGGTTTTGATTTGAATTTCTCTAATGACCAGTCATGATGAGCTTTTTTTCATGTTTCTTGACCACATAAATGTCTTCTTTTGAGAAGTGTCTGTTTATATCATTTGCCCACTTTTTGATGGGGTTGCTTATTTTTTTTCTTGTAAATTTGTTTAAATTCTTTGTAGATTCTGGATATTAGCCCTTTGTCAGATGGATAGATTGCAAAAATTTTCTCCCATTCTGTAGGTTGCCTGTTGACTCTGATGATACTTTATTTTGCTCCCCAGAAGCTCCTTAGTTTAATTAGATCCCATTTGTCAATTTTGGCTTTTGTTGTCATTGCTTTTTGTGTTTTAGTCATGAAGTCTTTGCCCATGTCTATGTCCTGAATGGTATTGCCTAGGTTTTCTTCTAGGTTTTTTATGGTTTTAGATGTTAAGTTTAAGTCTTTAATCCATCTTGAGTTAATTTTTGTAAAAGTTGTAAGAAAGGGGTCCAGTTGCAGGTTTCTGCATATGGCTAGCCAGTTTTCCAAAAACCATTTATTAAGTAGGGAATCTTTCCCCATTGCTTGTTTTTGTCAGGTTTGTCAAAGATCAGATGGTTGTAGATATGCGGCATTATTTCTGAGGTCTTATTGGTCTATATGTCTCTTTTGGTACTAGTACCAGGCTGTTTTTTTAATTGTAGCCTTGTAGTATAGTTTGAAGTCAGGTTGCATGATGGCTCCAGCTTTGTTCTTTTTGCTTAGGATTGTCTTAGCTACATGGGCTCTATTTTGGTTCCATATGAAATTTAAAGTAGATTTTTCTAATTCTGTGAAGAAAGTCAATGGTAGCTTGATAGGGAGAGCATTGAATCTGTAAATTACTTTGGGCAGTATGGCCATAGTCACAATATTGATTCTCCCTATCCATGAACATTGAATGTTTTTCCATTTGTTTGTGTCGTCTCTTATTTTCTGGAGCAGTGGTTTGTAATTCTCCTTAAAGAGGTGCTTCACATCTCTTTTAAGTTGTATTCGTAGGTATTTTATTCTCTTTGTAGCAATTGTGAATGGGAGTTCACTCATGATTTGGCTCTCTGTTTGTCTATTATTGATGTATAGGAATGCTTGTGAATTTTGCACATTGATTTTATATCTTGAGAATTTGCTGAAGTTGCTTATCAGTTTAAAGAGATTTTGGGCTGAGACGATGGGGTTTTCTAACTATACAATCATGTCATCTTCAAACAGAGACAATTTGACTTCCTATCTTCCTATTTAAATACCCTTTATTTTTTTCTCTCGCCTGATTGCCCTGGCCAGAACTTCCAATACTATATTGAATAGGAGTGGTGAGAGAGGGGATCCTTGTTTTGTGCCAGTTTTCAAAAGGAATGCTTCCAGCTTTTGCCCATTCAGTATGATATTGCCTGCAGGTTTGTCATAAATAGCCCTTGTTATTTTTAGATATGTTCCATCACTACCTAGTTTATTGAGAGGTTTTGGCATGAAGAGGTGTTGGATTTTATCAAAGGCCTTTTCTGCATCTATTGAGACAATCATTTGGTTTTTGTCATTGGTTCTGTTTATGTGATAGATTATATTTATTGATTTGCATATGTTGAACCAGCTTTGCATCCTAGGGTTGAAGCCAACTTGATCTTGGTGGATAAGCTTTTTGATGTGCTGCTGGATTCGGTTTGCCAGTATTTTATTGAGGATTTTTGCACTGATGGTCATCAGGGATATTGGCCCGAAATTTTCTTTTTTTGTTGTGTCTCTGCCAGGTTTTGGTATCAGGATGATACCGGCCTCATAAAATGAGTTAGGTAGGAGTGCCTCTTTTTCTATTGTTTGGAGTAGTTTCAGTAGTTTCAGAAGGAATGGTACCAGCTCCTCTTTGTACCTCTCGTAGAACTCAGCTGTGAATCCATCTGGTCCTGGACTTTTTTTGGTTTGATAGGCTATTAATTACTGCCTCAATTTCAGAACTTGTTATTGCTCTATTCAGGGATTCGACTTATTCCTGGTTTAATATTGGGAGGGGATATATGTCCAGGAAGTTATCCATTTCTTCTAGATTTTCTAGTTTATTTGTGTAGAGCTGTTTATAGTATTTTATGATGATAGTGTATTTCTATGGGATCAGTGGTGATATCCTCTTTATCATTTTTTATTGTGTCTATTTGATTCTTCTCTCTTTTCTTCTTTATTAGTGTGGCTAGTGCTCTATCTATGTTGTTAATCTTTTCAAAAAACCAGATCGTGGAGTCATGGATCTTTTTAAGGATTTTTTGTGTCTCTATCTCTTTCTATTGTGCTCTGATCTTAGTTATTTCTTGTGTTCTGTTAGCTTTTGAATTTGTTTGAATTTGCTTCTCTAGTTCTTTTAATTGTGATGTTAGGGTGTCCATTTTAGATCTTTCCTGCTTTCTCCTGTGGGCATTTAGTGCTATAAATTGCCCTCTAAACACCGCTGTGGCTGTATCCCAGAGATTTTGTATGTTGTGTCTTTGTTCTCATTGGTTTAAAAAGCTTTTTTTAAATTTCTGCCTTAATTTTGTTATTTACCCAGTAGTCATTCAGCAGAAGGTTGTTCAGTTTCCATGTAGTTGTGTGATTTTGAGTGAGTTTCTTAATCCTGAGTTCTAATTTGATTGCACTGTGGTCTGAGAAACTGTTTGTCATGATTTCTGTTCTTTTGCATTTGCTGAGGAGTGTTTTACTTCCAATTATGTGGTCAATTTTAGAATAAGTGTGATGTGGTGCTGAGAAGAATGTATATTCTGTTGATTTGGGGTGGAGAGTTCTATAGATGTCTATTAGGTCCACTTGGTCCAGACTGAGTTCAAGTACTGAATACCTTCGTTAATTTTTTGTCTTGATCTGTCTAATATTGACAGTGGGGTGTTAAAGTCTCCCATCATTATTGTGTGGGAGTCGAAGTCTCTTTGTAGGTCTCTAAGAACTTGCTTTATGAATCTGGGTGCTCCTGGATTGGGTGCATGTATATTTAGGATAATTAGCTCTTCTTGTTGTGTTGATCACTTTACCATTATGTAATACCCTTATTTGTCATTTTTGATCTTTGTTGGTTTAAAGTCTGTTTTATCAGAGACTAGGATTACAACCTGTGCTTTTTGTTTTGTTTTGTTTTCCATTTTTTTGGTAAATATTCCTCCATCCCTTTATTTTGAGCCTAAGTGTGTCTTTGCATGTGAGATGGCTCTCCTGAATACAGCACACAGATGGGTCTTGATTCTTTATCCAATTTGCCAGATTGCGTCTTTTAATTGGGGCACTTAGCCCATTTAAATTTAAGGTTAATACCGTTATGTATTAATTTGATCCTGTCATTATGATGCTAGCTGGTTATTTTGCCCGTTAGTTGATGGAGTTTATCTATAGTGTTGATGGTCGTTACAATTTGGTATGTTTTTGCAGTGGCTGGTATCAGTTTTTCCTTTCCATATTTAGGGCTTCTTTCAGGATATTTTGTAAGGCAGGCCTGGTGGTGACAAAATCTCTCAGCATTTGCTTGTCTGTAAAGGATTTTGTTTCTCTTCTATTTATGGAGCTTAGTTTGGCTGGATATGAAATTCTGGGTTGAAAATTCTATTCTTTAAGAATGTGGAGTATTGGCCCCCACTCTCTTCTGGCTTATAGGGTTTCTGCAGAGAGATCCGCTGTTAGTATGATGGGCTTCCCTTTGTGGATAACCCAACCTTTCTCTCTGTGCTCTTACCATTTTTTTTTCCTTCATTTCAACCTTCGTGAATCTGACCATTATGTGTCTTGGGGTTGCTCTTCTCAAGGAGTATCTTTGTGGTGTTCTCTCTATTTCCTGAATTTGAATATTGGCCTATCTTGCTAGGTTCGGGATATTCTCCTGGATAATATCCTGAAGAGTGTTTTCCAACTTAGTTCCATTCTCCCCCTCACTTTCAGGTACACCAATCAAACGTAGGTTTGGTCTTTTCACATTGTCCCATATTTCTTGGAGGCTTTGTTTGTTCCTTTTCATTTTTCTTTCTTTTTTCCCTAATCTTGTCTTCACTCTTTATTTCATTTAGTTGGTATTCAATCTGTGATATCCTTTTTTCCACTTGATCAATTCAGCTATTTATGCTTGTGTATGCTTCACGAAGTTCTCGTGCTGTGTTTTTCAGCTCCATCAAGTCATTTATGTTCTTCTCTAAACTGGTTATTCCTGTTAGCAATTCCTTTAACCATTTTTCAAGGTTCTTAGCTCCCTTGCATTGGGTTAAAACATGCTCTTTTAGCTCGGAGGAGTTTGTTCTTACCCACCTTCTGAAGCCTACTTTTTTCAATTTGTCAAATTCATTCTCCATTCAGTTTTGTTCCCTTGCTGGCGAGGAGTTGTGATCCTTCGGAGGAGAAGAGGCATTCTGATTTTTAGAATTTTCAGCCTTTTTGTGCTGGTTTTTCCTCATCTGTGTGGATTTATCTACCTTTGGTCTTTGATGTTGGTGATCTTTGGATGCAGTTTTTGTGTGGACACCCTTTTTGTTAATGTTGATACTATTCATTTCTGTTTGCTAGTTTTCCTTGTAACAGTCAGGCCACTCCACTGCAGGTCTGCTGGAGTTTTCTGGAAGTCCACTCCAGACCCTATCTGTCAGGGTATCACCAGCGGAGGCTGCAGAACAGCATAGATTGTTCCTTCCTCTGGAAGCTTTGTCCAAGAGAGGCACTCGCCAGATGCCAGCCAGAGCTCTGTCTGTTCAACCTTGCTGGGTGGAATCTCCCAGTCAGAAGACACAGGGGTCAGGGACCCACTTGAAGAGTCAGTCTGTCCCTTAGCAGAGCTCGAGTACTGTGCGGCAAGATCTGCTGCTCTCTTCAGAGCCAGCAGGCAGGAAAATTTAAATCTGCTGAAGCTGTGCCCACAGCTGCCCCTTCCCCCAGGTGCTCTGTCCCAGGGAGATGGGAGTTCTATCTATAAGACCCTGACTGGGACTGCTGCCTTTCTTTCAGAGATGCCCTGCCCAGAGAGGAGGAATCTAGAGAGGCAGTCTGGTTATAGTGGTTTTGCTGAGTTGCGGTGGGCTCCGCCCAGTTCGAACTTTCCCCCTGGGGCTTTGTGTACACTGTGAGGGGAAAATCGGCTTCTCAAGCTTCAGTAATGGTGGACACCCCTCCCCTCACCAAGCTCGAGCATCCCAGGTCAATTTCAGACTGTGCTAGCGAGAATTTCAAGCCAGTGGATCTTAGTTTGTTGGGCTCCTTGGGGGTGGAATCCACTGAGCTAGACCACTTGGCTCCCTGGCTTCAGCCCCCTTTCCAGGGTAGTGAATGGTTCTGTCTCACTGGTGTTCCAGGAGCCACTGGAGTATGAAAAAAAGAAAAAAAAACAACTCCTACAGCTAGCTTGGTGTCTGCCCAAATGGCTGGCTGCCCGATTATGTGCTTGAAACCCAGGGCCCCCGGTGGTGCAGGCACCCAAGGGAATCTCCTGATCTGTGGGTTGTGAAGACCACAGGAAAAGCATAGTGTCTGGGCCAGAATGCACTGTGCCTCATGGCACAGTCACTCATGGCTTCCCTTGGCTAGGGGAAGGAGTTCCCGACCCCTTGCACTTCCCAGGTGAGGTGATGCCCCACCCTGCTTCTGCTCGCCCTCCATGGGCTGCACCCACTGTCTAACCAGCCCCAGTGAGATAAACCGGCTACCTCAGTTGGAAATGCAGAAATCACCCACCTTCTGTGTTGATCTCGCTGGGAGCTGCAGACTGGAGCTGTTCCTATTCGGCCATCTTGCCACCCGCTGATGTACCCATTGTATTCTAAATATTTTGTAATATTAACACATTTAACCATCACAACAACTTTATCAGTTCTGTTCTTATTCCCATAGTGCAGGTGAGGAACTTGAGGCATGAAGACACCAAATTGCAGAGAATTTAAACCCAGGCAACCTGACTTTGCCACTCTTGTAAAGAGTCAATATAGTTTAGTGCCTCAGTAAAAAATGAAATGTTTGATTATGAATGAATTTATCAAGTGAGGTTTGAATATGACCAAAATTTAAGGTAACTAATCCTGTGTCTTATACTGTGACTATTGAGTTTATAATTAGCAATATAAAATTAAGGATATTGACTCTGTAAGTATTTGTTCCATAAAAGCCTAATGATCAGATTAGATACTTAACCTGCATTTCAAGTACAGATTTAAAATAAACAAGGGAACAGATAATTTACAGCCAGTTAATATGAAGTGGGTCATATGATGTCCTAGTTATTATAGACCTAAGGTGATTGGACACTTGGTATGCAAAGGAGTACCTTCTATGGAAGAGGAATCATCAAATATGAGAAACTGTGCCATTTCAGAAAATCAGATTAAATTTTTGAAAAAATTCTATGGAAATTTTTGGAAATGATTAAGTTTTGTCCATCTAAAATGGAAAATACTGTTTTTAGTGATATAGTTTTATTCTTTTGTGTTCATTATATTAAGATTTATTTTCATGAAATTCATTCAAATTATTGTTTTCAATTAATCTACTGAGACCCAGTGTTTGTCAAAAAGAGGCTTAATTTTTATGTCTGCATTTTAGACAGATTTATAACATGATCTATAAACCATAGATCTCTCACATTACTCATTTGAAGAACTGCATGATTTTAACACTTATAAATGTAGAGATTAGGAAGAAAGAAAGAAATCCATTAAATCCAGTGATCACTATTTATTAGAGACCTTTTGCTGCTTAAACAAAACCTATAAGACACACCCACTATGTAACCATAAAAATTAAATATAAAAAGCAAAATGAATGAAAATGTCAACAAATTTTAAATCTTTAAAAGCGTACTATTCCTCAGTTCTATATTAGCTGTTAACACGTAAAAGTAGCAAAATAGTTATGTATTAGTATTTAAACTCATGATATAAAGATATATATCATATTTGATTACATTACCAATATTATCATATTTAGTCTTTACAAATCTATATTAGATAGCTCATATTTCCATTTCCCTTTTAGAGACGATGAATTTAAGACTTAGAATGATTTATTATTCTCAAAAGAGTACACACTGAGTTAATTGGCAAAGCCAGGATATGAACCCAGATATCTTGACTCAAGAGTAATAAAGGTTTTATTGGCCCCTGTTATTCTTGGGGAAAGCCATTTCAATTCTTACTAAGTAAATATAATCAGGTTTATGTTAGCTAAATTATTAAAATGAATAATTTAACTCATATGTGTTCTTTTTTTCTGATAAAGTAGGTAGAAATGCTAGATTATGAAATCTTGGATAATAGAAGAATAATTTCAAAGAACATCTATAAGGGTGTCCTATTGTCAGGATGGGCACATTTGAGGCACTGCACTCTTGATTAGTTGAGATGAAAACAAATATCTGTCTTTTCAATACTTGCAGTTTCCTTTCTAAGTTTACCTATTTATTCAAGTGTTTGTTGATTTACTCCAAAAATAAATTTGCATACATATACATGCTAGGACTCTGCTTGAGCAAAAAGGTTACTTAGAAATGTCATTTTTGACATACTTAACCAAGTGTTGAAGTGTTGTTGTGAGGAATTATAACTTTCACATTCTGTCCAAGTCATTTTCCTTTGTCATCCTAACTTTTGGTCTTGTCCTTGTTGTTTCCCTGTTGTGATTTTTCCCCTCTGTTTGGTGGTTGCTGTCTTGTTAGTGAGCTATTATGCCAAATGAATGAACAGTTATTCTCTATCTGTAATGCTTAAGGTTTATATTTTAGGCTCAACAATGTATTTTGAAGGTCTTTGCCTTTCTCTTTGCTCGCTTTCAGTTTCATCTGCTTCGTAGAAAGATTCTCTCTAATCTGGGTACTCTCAGTATACTGTGTATTTTGCTGATGAGACACTGCTTTAAGAACATTCTGGTACCTGGTGAAAGAGAGTAGCAGCTAACTTAAATATTATAAGAAAAGTTTTTTCATTCTAAAGACTGAAATTTTCTCTCTTTTCCTACAACAGTTAGGGATTTTAAACAATCTTATTCCTACCTTATCCAGGTTATAGTAGAATTAGAATTTATAAAAAGGGCATATAAAATAGGACTCATAGATGAAAATAATATTGCTATCATACCATAGACATCAAAGTCCTTAATGATTATTTAATTATTTTGTATCATAGGGAAATATTAATATTTTAATCAAATGTTAACAGGAAAAAAAGAAAAAGGTCATACTCAGATATATAAACTCTTCCTCACCAACTGAACAATTGAATGTCCCAAATTATACAACAAAACATGATGGAAAAATCAGTAGGCATATTCAGATAATAGACTAACCAAAGGAAAAAAACCAATTAACTACTCACTGGGATTCTGTAAATAAATAAAAATAAGTGGAGCACACTTTATCTAAAAGATAAGACTTTTTAATGTGGTACCAAAAAGATAATTAACCAGTATGTAAACTATTTAAATATTTAGCATTTCTTCTACTTCCATTGCATAGAACTGTGGCTTTTAGTGTTCTTATTCTGTACTAATATAATATAGTGTAAATTGACAATGGATTAATAGATATCCTTAGATATAGAAACAGTATGTTCCTAATTTGCTAAAAAAAATGTGAAATGTGCTACGCTAGGCTGTATTTAAGAAACTTAGAATGCAACTGATGATTAAAAAATAATCACTACTTAAATTTATCATTCTTGCTCAGCAATTAATTACTTCCATTACATTTAACTGCAAATAAAAATAATTTGGCTTTATTAGCTTCTTGGATATTTTTGCTCAAATGTCTTTTATATATATATGTATATATGTATATGTATGTATATGTATACATACATATACATATATGTATATATGTATATATATATATATACATATAAAATCACAAAGAGAAAAAAAGGAAAAAACCCTATAACTAGATAATATATTCTTGTGTTGTTTATTGAAGAGAGAAAAGAATAACTAAAAAACTCCTAGGATTTAGAATAGTTTTCTTTATTAATAATCATTTATAATGCTTTTTACTTCTTTGGCTATAAAGGAATAGGCTATTTCTTCCTCTTAATATAGCTCATGCCCCTGTTCCTTATCTGCTCTGTGGCCTTTCCCCCAACATAGATTTGAGAAAGAACAGAAAGTGTCCAATCACCCCAAAGCTCTGTACTAGTCACTCACTTCTTTATGTTCAGGTATCTGGTTACCCTCTTCCACTTTGGGTTCAAACACCGACAGTTGTTGTCAGGGACTCACGTAACATAACGTTCCCTGGCAAGTAATGAGCCCCGGTATGAAGACCTCAGCCCCTCACCATCTTTTATAACACTGTCTAATTTGTTCACTCAAAATATTGAGTACCCCCTAAGTCTCATAAACTGTTCTAGATCATGGGGCAAAATAATGGAGATATGAGCATCCTTTTCCTTGTGCAATTAATATTTTTGTGGGTAGAGAAAGGAGATACGTTAATATTTAAGATAATTTCAGATAATAACAAATGCAATAAAGAGCACCAAAGGATGTGAGAGAGACGGGCAACAACATCTTCTGAAGATGGCATAACAAGATGTTATCACGAATAACAAATTTATGTTGATATAACAAATAGAAGAAATTAGAATCTAGAAAAGGGTTTTTCAGGTTTTGGAGTTTCTCCATGGAGGTGAAACAGAACTGCATTGTCAAAGTGATAGAAGGTAAGCCAGTGTGGCTGGCATGAATTGAATGAGAGTGAAGTGTTGAAAGTAAAGTTAGAAATGTAAGTGTCACCACGACATTTAGGCCCCTAGAAGCAATTATAAGGTAACTTCAATGTCTAGTGGAAGTTAAGAATTACCTTTAAACAGACTTCAATTAAGCCCTCAGGGAAGACCACCATCTGTTCTCCAGGGTGTGTCAAGATGAAGAATATTTAAATTCATTTTTTCCAGTTACACCCCACACACCTCAACACACGTACACCTATACTTGCATTCATAGTGTAGTTCTATATATATATATATATATAGATAGATAGATAGATAGATAGATAGATATAGTGTGTGTATATTGAGAGTACACTATGAATCTTGGACTATACACAAATGAGTTGTTCTGAAAACTCTATAGATATCAGTATGGCTTATGGGCTATTGCCACATCCAGCCACAAACACTGAGCTATGCATGTGAGAGAGCATAAGTCAAGGTTTTTTCACAATGTACTGCTAGTGTATCCAACTCTAGATCACAGTGGAGGGGAGCTGAGCAGCTTTCCTCGTCTCTCGCAGCCTAAGCATCCTGCCTGAAATTCTAGGACAGATCCTTTTCTGAAATCTGATTACCCTGGCTTTACTAAACTTCTGTATGATGCACTAGAATGCAATGGGCAGAGGGAGACCTTCACACATGATAACACTTGTGTTCCCAGTGTTTCTCTCAGTGATCACTGCTCTGACAGACCTGATGTGGGACCAGTTGGTCATTGTGCTTGTTTGTTTTCCTGATACCTATGCACATGCAATAGTTACTAAAACAGAATAATGTTGGAACATTAATGGAATGCTGGTCTTCATTGGCAAAGTCTACCTGGAAAAAGATTATTGTTCAAACAATTATTTTACTATTAAAGGCTAAATACATGCAACACATGTAAAAGAATGTAGAAGGAAAAGAGAAATCTTACTAAATTCTGAAAGTAGAATAGCTTATTAGAAAGAACACCAAGTTGAAGTTATGAAACAACTTAGACCCTCAGCTCTCACTGAGACTCTAAGTAGCTTTAGAAAATTATTGAATTTTGCAACAGCTAGCGACTTTAGAAAAACTACCTATCTCAGTATGTAGATATGTATGCATACAGAGATAGAATCCTCAGCTTGTACGATTATGTCTAGAATTGAAGATGTTAAATGCTTTGCCAAAGATACAAAAGTATAAAGTGAGGAGTGGCCAGATCTCCTAATACTTGGGTTTTAAAAAATCTCCAGCAGTCATTTCCAGTGTTCTCACCTGTATCATATCCTCACAGCTAACCTTAGAAGTCCAAATGATTATGGTATTTTCAGGTATATGAACACTAAAACAACTATTTAAGCAAACCCAATGTTTGCTTACAAAACTCTTTCCATATTCTACTACATAGATGAGTGTCAAATAAGTAATAAAGGTGCAGACGCAAGGTTTAATTATTAATTTATTTGAACTTCCACTCAAGTGTCTGGAAATATTTCTGTTTGATGAGATAACTAGGGCAAAATGGGTGTATAAAAGAGAGTGAAACTGTAGAATGGTAGACAGAGATTAACATAAACAACCAAGTTTTGTGGAAAAAAGAAGAGCAGGATAAGTATATAGAATACATTTTAGAAATATGAAAATAAAGAGTAGAATAAAGAGCTAAATAATTGTTAACACTTGCTATCAAATAGTAGGAATGTACAGATAAAAGTTGAAGAGAAAGGGAAATTTTTCTGTTGTTAACATCTTGTTATACCAGTTGAATGTTTATACATAAATAAAATTATGTATTGTATTATTTTTATACAAATATAATTAAATAAAATCAAATATAGTATTTGTATTAAAGTGATGGTCATATAGACTACTTCTTAGATTTTAAGAAATTTAGAACTCCTGAATTGATTTACTGAAAAAAAAATTATTTTATGTTTTCTAAAAGTATGTTTTGTAACACCTAAGGATGTTGATGTTTATGGGAAAAATTCCTCTGTCAAATGTATTTGGAAACTACTATATTTTCCTTCTTGAGAGTCAAAACTCACTTTAATACATTTAGATGGTTTGGGAAGTCCATGTGGAAAAAAAAGTATTTCAATTTCATTTGATCCTTTTATTTCATTCAAACACATTTAACCTAGAACACTTTTCCTTTAGCTTAAAAATTCATCTTGTCAGACAGTGCTTTGTGGGACATAGTACTGGAATTCCTATTCTTTATGTTCTTCTTAAACCTATTATGTAATATATCCCAAATGATTTTAAATAAAATATTGTATAAAAAGTTCTGATACCTAAATATGAAAGAGTGTTTCTAAGATTCTTTAAATCCATGATTCTATTTTATTACTTATATTGCCTAGTGATAAAAAGAAAATAGTGTTTGTATACATGGTCTGCTGAAATTCTACTTTTCTAAGGATTATATCAAAAGAAAGAATCTCAAGGTACGAGCAATAGGGAAGAGATTTTGGAGAGTGATCCACACAAGTTAAGAGCGCTGCAGTCCGGCGTAGGTAAAAAATGGACGGTTCAAATCCAGATTTGAAAAAATCAAATGAAATCAGTATGTGTTACATCAGGGCTACTGAAGAAATAAAAGAGAATGTCAAAATGTTCATCTTTCAAAAATTAATGTCAAATAAAGGTAAACAGTTATTTTGGAAATGACACTTGTATCCCAATATTCTGCATTTTGCAGTTGCAACTTGCAGGGTTTGTACCATTTTCTAACAAAGATGTGAAAAATTGCTGAAAGTCTTTCTACTATACGAATGTTATTATTTTTCTTTTTTTCTGTTGTATTAAGAGGCCTATTGACACATAATTTACACATTACATAATATACCTATTTAAAATATACAGTACAATTTTTAAAAATTACATGTACAGAGATGTGCAACCAGCACCGTCTAATTTCGGAACACTTTTCTTATTCAGAAAGGAAATCCCATACACATTGGCAGATTCTCCATATTTCCTAACCCCTCCCAAACCCAAAGCAACCAATAATCTACTCTTTGTCTCAACATAGTTGTCTATTATGGACAGTTCATATAAATAAAAATATAAAATATGCGGATTTGTGAGGAGCTTTTTTGTCCACAACATAATATTTTCAAGATTCATTCGTGTTGTAGAACATATAGATTCTTTTTTTCTATTGCCAAAATAATCTATTGTATGGATATACCATATTTGTTTATTCTTTTAACATTTTATGGACATTTGGATTATTTCTTTTGGTTATTATGAGTATGCTCCTATGAATATTTTATAAGTTATTTTTTAGACACATTTTTTTATTTATTTGGGGTATGTACCTAGAGTAAAATTGTTGAGTCTTATGGTAGCTCAATGTTTAATATTTTGAAGAACTGCCAAATGATTTTCCAAAGTTAACAGCACTATTTCATATTTTGGATAAAATAATGACTGTGGAAGATGCTTTTGGTGGAGCTCCAAAAGTGGTCATTATTCTATGTTTGTTTCAAGACTGCTGGATTTTCACAGCTATCAGACGACTGAGCTGGGCAGAAAGTGGGATAAAAGTTTCCGCAAATTGAATCATCATATACCTTGCTGTTTTACTGAAGTATTGTTATTTCTGTTGGAGAGACAATTTCCCATTTTAAGTTTGTTATATGGTTGAATTAATTTCAGAACTTCTGAAATGTTCAGTTTTCCTTGTTTTGATAGTATTGCAGTTATTTTGTGGGAGATTGGTTCATCATGGTCCTCACTTCATTCTGGAAGTCATTTTGTTTCCTCAACAACATATTTTTAAAATTTTGAGATATCTATTATTTTAGGATTTGGTTAGTATAGCTTATCAGGGCATAATGTTGCCTTTTTATCCTTCAAATTCCATAAAATAATCAACAAATAACACATTCACAGAAAAATAAGACAGAAGCACAGATAACAGAACAAATATGTTAATAAAACAGCATGATTTAGTTATATAATTTTATCGAAAATACATACAGTCTTACAAATTGTTTGCAAAAGAAAACTGCTGCAGGGTTATTATAAGATAAGCAGTATTTTGAACAGATTCCCTACAGTTTTCTCTTAAAGCACTGGGACTTTTTTAAAGGTCAGCAACCAACTGATTTGTCGTTTGATACATAGCTGAATTGAAATAAATCAAAACAAGAAATAAAAAAAAATATTTTAAATGAGAATTCTATAGTGGACATCCAACAGAGAAGCCTTTATATATTTTAGATCCTTGAAAATATAAGGGGAGGTAAATGTTTTGAAAAACATCTGTAGGGGGCTCAAAGATAATAAAGTACAAAAATATAAATTGTAAAATATTACACAAAAGATTTATGTAGTATTTATAATGTAGATCTTTATCTTATGAGCAATTATCCAATGCCTAGGGCATTGCTTAAAAAGCAGTAAGTCCATATAATGGGACCTCCTATTGTGTTGTCTGAGAAGAAAACTCTGCTAGGATCATGAAATGAAAGAACAAAGCTACTTTCACTTGGAACCTTGAAAAAACTAACTTCCAAGATTAACTTTAACTTTTTTTTCTTGGATCTGTAGCCAGGGGCATGAAGATTTGAAAGGACCTTAGTTCACCGATTTAAGAATATGTAACCTCATCAATATTAAGGGTCAAATATATTTCTGGAATGCAGGTCATTCATTCCAGCAATTAAAAAATAAAGAAAAAATGTACTGAATTCATCTTATTGTATTAGATGCTGAGGTAACAGAGTTGAAATGTTCATTTATACTAAATAGGGTACTCTAGAGAACATTCAATTGCATCCACTGTAAAATATTACTTCTTTAAAAATACAAATGTTGAAAACACTATGTTCTAACACTATTATTAAAAGATAAAAACTTTCAAGTCCCAATAGAAATAAAACTTGAAGTTTAAATGATTGAATATATATGAATTTAGAAATACTATTACTTTGATTAAAGTTTCATTATTAAAGGCTTCATATTTTGATGAGTTTTACATTATATATATTACATAATTATTATGTTTATATCCATAATTTATTATTATGTTTATATCCATAATCTATCCCCCTATTTACTAAACTATATTATTTTTATAACCCTTATTGTCAGTAGTGTTGGGGTACTTAAACATTACCTAACTTTTCCCTTAAAGTCCAGACTTTCTGGCTAAACAAAATCATCATCTCTCTTTATGAGGTCTTGGAGCAATGTCTATAAACATCAGGGGTTAGGCAACATGTGTGTTTTGTTTATGACCCAGATCCTGTCTTGGTGCCAAGCATATGGTAGGTACTTGATACATATTTGTAGAACATATGAATGAATTAATAATGTAATGAATATATTACTATAGTTCTGCATAAAAATTACAAATACTATCTGAAGTGTCCAAGTTGCAGAAAGAAAAAAATGTTACCAATGAGATACCACAGCTAAAGAAATGTGACCAATTAATTTCTTGGTAGTTTCTCAAAGGCAAAATGCATAAAAACATATATATTTATATAATCATTTTCATTGTTTAGTGTACAACCACTGATTTTGATATTTATATTTTAATCATTTTTTATATTTTATAAGATGATTTGATGATCCAGTGTTGGAATTTTTTTTTTAATGGAGGATTATACTCTAAGTTATTGATTGAGTTTCTGCCCCAGGTTAGATGAGAAATGTAAGAGATATGATGTGACTTACATAGTGTATTTTCTAAGTATACTAAGAAAATACATAAACATAATACATAAACTTTAACATATAAAATCATCTGCTTTATCAGAGCATAGTAATACAGAATATATATAGAAAATGCATATCACTGTTAATTCTTACTGTTTGCATATAGACTAGAGCATTATTAAAACTTCCAGCCTGCCAGATGACAAAAAATATCTATTTTAATGTTAAAAACAAAAATAAAATTATTCAGAAGATCAGATTATCCTGGTGAAACGTTTTTAGCTATTTTACCTAAGTCAAATCTCTTGTATTTATTTTATTTTTCTTTCTTTCGCTTTCTTCTCCTTCCTTCCTTCCTTCCTCTCTTTCTTTCTTCTTTCTTTCTTTCTTTTTTTGATAGAGCCTTGCTCTGTTTCCCAGGCTAGAGTGCAGTGGTGTGATCTCAGCTCACTGCAACCTCCACTTTCAGGGTTCAAGCCATTATCCCACCTAAGCCTCCCAAGCAGCTGGGATTACAGGCACAAGCCACCATGTGCTGGGGTTTTGCTATGATCACCAGGCTGGTTTCAAACTCCTGGCCTGAACTGATCGTCTGCCTCAGCTTACCAAAGTATTAGGATTACAGGCATGAGCCGCCATGTTCAGCTCTCTTAGATTTCTTGATGCACAGTTTCCTACCTATCAGTAAATAGGGCAATTGATTTCAGAAATATTGTTTTCCTTTCTATGTTTAATATTTTAGGTAATTTTTAAGCCATTAAGGATAAACATATATCATTCTTATTTAAAACCATTGCTAATATGAAATTGTTTTGTAAAAATTATAACTAATGTATATTAATTGAAGGAATTTGAAATATAATAAATATACAATATTATATATAGAAATATATATACATATAGAAATATATAGAAATACACAGAATATGTAACAATATTAAAAACGAATAATATTATGCTAATAGTATTGTATCGTTTTGGATCCTCTCACTGAAAATAACCACTCTGATACATAAATCTGTCTCCCTACTTTGTTTTTACTCTGTTGTGTTTGTGTTTGGTGCGTTTATGAGAGAAAGAGATTCATAAATAAGAAAGTTCATTGTAATTTTATTTTGCAACCTACTTAAAAGGTATCTTGAGAATAGATTGATTTATTTTTTTGAATTTGGCCCTACATTTCATGTCCTGTATCTTTGTTTCCTGTCTTTTCCAATATAATTAGCTTTATCAAGTTATTTTGTAGCTTCCCCTGTCAGAAAGTTGGGTGTATTTTCTTGTTTCTTGTTTATGAATTTGGCCATGTGATTTGACAATGAGACATGTGCAGTAGGACCTTGAAAAGCTGTTTGTGCATTTTTACTTCCCCTTCTGCTTGCCACTATCATTAAAATGTGCTTGAGCTACCTTGCAGGAGGGAGAAGAACATAGACCTGAGTCCATCCTAGGCAATCGGAAAACTAGTCAACCCCCAGACAGGGTGTTCAACGTCTGGCCAAGATCAACGCAGCCACCTGGCTGTACTGCAGATAACCACAGACACATGAATCAGCTAATCTGATGCCAGAGGTTCCACAGAGTTGGCCTGCCAACTCATGACCTAAATTAATGCATATTGCTTTAAGACACTGAGTGCGAGGTGGTATTTTATGCAACATTCTTGTGGTGATTGATATTTTAAATAGTGTCTCATGTAGAATTCTTATGCCTTTTTAAAATAGTGTTTTTTAAGATAAATTATGTATCATAAAATTGATTATTTTAAATGTGCAATTCAATTAATTTCAATATATTGATAGTTATACATCATTATCATAATGTAAATGTTCAGCATTTCACCACCCTAAGTTAAAGAAATGAAAAGAAATAAAAGAAAGGAAAAGAAAATAAAAGTGTTCATTCATAGCCCCAAGCAACTAATAATTTATTTTCCATCTCTATATATTTACCTATTTTTGGTATTTCATATAAATAAAATCATATATTACGTGTTATTTTGTGTCTTCTTTCACTTAGCATAATGATTTTTGGGTTCATCCTTGTGGTAACATGTATCAGTACTCCATTCCTTCATGTTGCTGAATATTATGCTTTTGTATGGGTATGCCAAACTTTATCTATTTATCAATTAGCAAACATTTGAGTTGTTTCTGCTTTTTTTACTATTGTGAATAATATCCCTATGAATATTCATATGTAAATCTTTGTGTGGACATATATTTTTATTTCTCTTGTGAATATATTATACTTATGAGTAAAATTGCTGGATTCTATGATAAGTAAACATTTAGCATTTTGAGAAACTGACAGACTGTTTTAATAAGTGGCTGTATCATTTTACATTCTCACCAACAGTGTATAAAGGTGTTGGTTGTTTTACATCCTTGCCAACACCCGATATTATTTGTCTTTTTTCTTGTAGACACCATTGTCAGTGTGAAGGAACATCTTGTGGCTTTGACTTGCATTTCCCTAATGGCTAATAATATTGAGCATCTTTTTCATGTGTTTATTAGTCATACATGTATCTTCTTTAGAAAAATGTATCTTCAGATCTTTGCTCATTTTTAACTGAGTTATCTGTCTTTTTATTGTTGTGTTGTAAGAGTTTTTTGTTGTTGTTTTGGATATAAGTCTTGTGATGTATACTCTGGAAATATTTTTATATTATCACTTGTTTCGTTGGTATCATATCTAAGAAATCATTGCCTAACCCAAGATTATATATATATATTTTTTTCAAGATGGAGTCTCTCTTTTTTGCCCAGACTGGAGTGCAGTGGCACAATTTCAGCTCATTGTAACCTCTGCCTGCCGCACAACCTAAGCTTATAAATGTTCACTTCTAAAGGTTTTACCATAGCTTTTACATTTAGATCAGCCATGCACTTTCAGATAACTTTTTTTCTGTGATGTGAAACCACTCCAAATTTGTTTTTTGAATGTAGAAACCAATTGTCTCAGCATAATTTGTTGAAAAAAATTATTTTTCCCATTGAATTTTCTTAGCATTTTTGCTGAAAATCAGCTAACTATAAAGTCAAGAGCTTATTTTTCACTCTCAATTGTACACCATTGATTCATATGTCTGTCTTTATGCCAGTACCTTACTGTATTCATTACTGTAGTTTTGTAGTGAGTGATGAAATCCATTTTCCTTTTCAACATTGATTTGACTATTCTGGGCCCGTAGTATTTCCATATGAATTACAAGCAATCTAGTCTGGGACAAACACTATAACCCACAGTGATTGATAGAGCCTGAGTGGCAAAATCTCCTCAAAGCTAACCACGCTCAATTTCTGGAATTTCATGTATTAAGGTGTCAAGAGAAGTCTTCTTTACTTTTAGTCTCTGAGTTGGCTCGATACAAATCCAGAACTTCCAACTGTTATTGTTACATACATAGACTAGGACTCAACTACCTATCTTTACCAGGACAAAAAGGTGATAAAATACAAAGAACAACAGAAATATGAAATGAAGGAGAAATTCTGCATCTATTCAAATCTCTCAACTGATTGAACCTGACTTCACGTTCATCTCTCTTTTCATGGGTAAATTTTGTTGCGCCACTACATTCTCCTTTTTGTGGCTTTAGTTCAAGATGCATTTTGTCTACCAAAATGGAAGGTTTCTAATTGATATAAATAATTTTTTAATAATTTACCTCATGTGTGTATCCCATTACTTATTTCAAATGATATCTGGGAAGTGTGAAGAAAGACATCTTTGTTTTAGTACTATATTGTGCTAAGGTCAACAGCACTGAAAGTTCAATGATGATACGAAAGTTATATCACCATCAAATGCTCCATTTTTCTTAGTCACTTTGACATATTAATAAACCAAAAGTGATTTGGCTTTTCTTTGAAGATTTGTTTAAACTATTCTACTTAAGCAAGAGTTATAAGTAATTCAAATTCTAGTTATGTTCAGTCTTATAAAGAACTACTTGATGGCATCAACATTAAGTATAAAGAAATTTAATGTTTCTAAGCAATATTATTTTTCTTCATGAAACCTGACACAATGAAAACAACTGAGTTAGGGACAATTCTGGAAAAAATTTGTCATAAGCAAATACCATTATAAATCACTGTATAGTATTTTTACCTGTCAAGATGATTCATTAGTTATTATTCCATTTTTAGCTCTGACCATTGACATATAATCAAGAACCAGACAACAAAACTGGATAGGTCTGTAAAACTATGAATCTACCAACATTCCAGGCTGGCCACTGAAGTGACAGTTTTAGAAAGATAAAACTTTTCTGCAAATGAACTTTTATTGAAAACTGAGGGCTAAAAAGTTTAATAAAAAATCTGTTTAATAAACTGGATGTGCAGTGTCCTATTTTCTTTGCCACCATATTCTTCAACTTTTCATCACTCCATTCCAGGACCTCATCAAATGTGAGAATTCCTGCTATCAACAGTTTCTTAAAGTTTACTTATATCTGTCCTACTAATTTCTTTTGGAATCTGAGCTGAGGCCGGGCGCAGTGGCTCAAGCCTTAATCCCAGCACTTTGAGAGACTGAGGCAGGCAGATCACGAGGTCAGGATATCAAGACCATCCTGAACAACATATTGAAACCCCATCTCTGCTAAAATACAAAAAATTAGCTGGGCGTTGTGGTGTGCGCCTGTAGTCCCAGCTACTCAGGAGGCTGAGGCAGGGGAATCATGTGAACCCAGAAGGTGGAGACTGCAGTGAGCCAAGATCAAGCCACTGCACTCCAGCCTGGTGACGGAGTGAGACTCCATCTCCAAAAAAAAAAAAAAAAAAAAAAAAAGTAATTTGAGCTGGTTCTATGTTGGCTTTTATCGCATGGGAGGATGTGAATCGTTAGCGGGAATATTATTTATATATCATATCCATTATTGGCCTCTGATATATGAGATATTAAATATATTTTCTGTGTCTCCAACTAGCTATAATTATTTTCAACAGCAGTCATTTAAAATTGAATATTCCTTCATACTTTCACTATAACAGATTATGCTTGTGCTTATATTTTCACTGAAAGCTTGGAATTTTAACCTTATCCACTTCTTATATTCCCAACAGTTCATGAGAGTTCTAATTTTTCTGCCTGCTCTCCAACACTTATTGTTTGGCTTTTTGATGACAGTCCTTCTTCTAGTCAGGGCGAAGTAGTATTTCACAGCGATTTTGACTTGCATTTCCTGAAGCTACTGACATTGAGCATCTTTTCATGCGCTTGATGGCCATTTGTGTATCTTCTTTGAAGAAATGTTTTAGATCCTTTTTACATTTTAAAAATTAAGCTACTTGTATTTTTAGCATTGAATTGTATAGTTTTTTTTGTATACTACATAAATACTTCCCTTATCAGATACATGATTTGCAAATATTTTATCTAAATTTGCTAGTTGTCCTTTTACTTTCTTCTTGGTGTTTTCTAAAGCACAATACTCCTTAATTTTCATGAAATTCAACTGATCTAATTTTTTTGTGTCTTTCATTACTTTTGAAACTTTCTTTAATGAATTTTGTACAGAAGCTTCGATCTAATAAAGTTTATTGATGTTTTTATGTCTTGATTTTTTTCCTATTTCATTAGTTTCCAGGTTTCTTGCTAGTAGAGCCCTTTTGGAGGAATCTCCCCTTTTCCTATGAAGTACAGACACAAGGTAAATATGATATTTGTTTTGCAAATAAGTTTTTAAAGAGTCCGTCTGCTTTCTGTAAATACAGAAACATTAATCAATAGTTGCCTTCAGGAAATGATAGCAAAAATCCTTTTACTCCCCTTGGTTGATAAAACCTTTTCTTTTAATAAAACACTAGTAGTAGTATTCCATTGATGCCTATATTTTACCACAAAATTTGTAAATCATCACCAATGAATAGATTAATCTATGAACATTCTCCCTTTTTAGACCTGATAAGATACATCAAAGAAAAACAAAACATGAATACATATTGTGCTACAGTAAATCATAATCATAAAGCATGAAATAATAATCCTAGCAAGTATTTCAAAATACTCAGCATTTGCATGACATCTCATAATATTCCATGTCACCTTAATAGGCATGTAGTCATTAAATAATCAAAAACACCCAACCAATGGAGCTAGTCAATGGTTACAATGAGGAAACTGCATTTCAGAAAACAAGATAGTAATAGAGATATTTTAATTGGCTTTAGCACTTCATAGTTTACACAGCAATTTCATTGTCTGTCACGATCCCAATTTTGTCACTGATTTTGTGAGATGCTTGAGGAATACTTCAGTGTCCAGGGTAACCAGTAAGTTATACATCAGCAATGAATTACACAGGCATCTAAATAAATATATACATATATAAAACAAAATTTTAGCTTAGGTTTCTAATCAAATGCAGAGTTTTAGTTTTGTCATATACTAAATAAAACAGAGTATTCTTACTGAGTAATGAAAAAATATTTACCATTTATTAAGTATAAAAATCCTCTAACTTATCTAAACCACTTACACAATTTGATTTTTAAATGGATGTGGCCAGTCTTGATGTTTCTGTTACCCTGACTTGGTCTTTGTCCCTGCTTCCTGAGAAGTTAAGGTTCTTGCCAATGCCACCTGAATATTTCCTCTCTATCCACTCAGCCTTGGTATTTAATGGTTGCTTGCTTAACAATGTGCTCTCTTATTTTATTTCTACATTATATGAATCACATTGCCTCAATATTTCACTGCCTGACTGATCCACCTAAAATATGTTTTTTTATATTCTCATGTCTTAGACTCTGAGACCTTCTAAAGATCTCTTTGCCCCCTTTTATCCCACATGGATATATTTTTGCAAATTCCTAAAGTTATTATTTGTTAACTGCTTTATTATAGTGCCAATATCTCACCTTAAAAAACCTTTGCTTATCAGAAAACAAAAAAGTTAGCCATTTTTCATTAACATACCCTTGTATCAACAATGTAAATATAAAATGGATTCAATACAACAGAAGTTCCAAAAATGCAATTAGCAGAGATTTAACACAGATAAAGGTTTGTCAATTCCTCCTAACAGAAGTCCAGAAGTAGAAAAGGCAAGTATGGGTATATTATGGTGTACTGACTTGGCTCCACAAACTGCAGTGACCCAGGCTGCTTCCAATTCTCCAGTCTACAGTTCCTAAGATATGTCCTTGACTCTTATGGTCCAAGATGACTGCTGGAGCTTCAGCCATCATATTTGCTTCACACTTTAAGGTTGGATATAGAGGTAAAATGTGCAGCCTCTCCTTTGAGAACTTTTCCAGGAAACTGCACTAAACACTTTCACTTACCTGGGAATGGCCAAACCTTGAACATAGACCAAACACAGTTGCAGTAGAAACTAGATAAAGTGTTCTTGTACTTGGGCAGCAATTTGCCAAGATAAAAATCGAGATACCTACTGCAGAAGGATAAGAGAATTGATATTTGAAAGGAGTGGTGCCTCTCTCAGAATATTATTGTTTTGATTTATTCAGGAAAGGAAAGGATGGCTCATTGTATTGGTCCATTTTCATACTGCTGTAAATAACTACCAGAGTCTGGGTAATTTATGAAAGAGAGAAGTTTAATTGACTCACAGTTCTGCATGGCTGGGGAGGCCTCAGGAAACTTACAATCATGGCAGAAGGTGAAGGGGAAGGAAGGCACCTTCTTCACAAGGCGGCAGGAAAGAGAAATGCCGAGCTAAGAGAGAAGAGCCCCTTATAGAATCATCAGATCTCGTGAGAAATCACTCACTATTATGAGAACAGCATAGGGAAAAACACCCCCATGATTCAATGACCTCCACCTGTCTCTCCCTTGACACATGAGGATTATAGGGATAATAGGGATTACAATTCAAGATGAGATTTGGGTGGGGATACAAAGCCTAACCATATCACTCACACATATTAAAATATTTGTACAATTTTACTCAATTAACATAGTTCCATTTTGAAATTAGGATTATATAATTACACAGTCTTCTTCTTATTTCTTTAGCATGGACTCTCCCATTTCAGGGTAAATTCTGAATAAATTATGTTTCTAGCCTACATTTTATTTGTTACCTGCTTTTCCCTTCAGGGCACTATATTCAGAGAGAGTCCACTATTATTCATTTTAAAAGCGGACTTTTACACTTTATTTCTCCTGTAATTCTAATACATGGAATGCTTTTTCTTTTCAGTGTATTAGTATTTATCCATCATCAGAATAAATACTAATTTTATGTATTTATCCATGGTCAGGATAAATATTAATTTTATGTATTTAATTTTATGTGTTATTTAGATCCCTCAAAGGAACAAAAATATTTTGTCTATTGTATGTTCTACTTCATAGAGCATTTATGGTCATTATGACTTTATAGATCTATTTCCACTATTATCCTCTTTCCAATTCTAGAGCATAGGGAAATGTGTGCCACATAGAAGTAGTTATGGGCAGAATTGTGTCCTACCGATATTCATATGTGAAAGCCAAAATCCCTAGTACCTTATAATGTTGATTGTGTTTGGAGATAGGACCTTTAAAGAGATGATTAAATTAACAAGGTCATTATGGTGGGCCCCAATCCAATCTAGATCAGTGTCCTTATAAGAAGAGGACATCTGTACACAGAGAGCAAGCCACCAGGAGTGCTCTTGCTCAGAGGAAAGAACACATGAGGATGCAGTAAGAAGGCAGCCACCTGAAAGCCAAAGAGAGAGGCCTCTGGAGAAACCAAATTGGCTGACGTCTTGATCTTGGACTTCTAGCCTCCAGACTGTGAAAATATCTTTTTGCTTGTTTGTTTGTTTGTTTAAGCCACCCAATCTGTGTATTTTGTTAGGACATAGGCAAATGCAGAAGACATTTAATAATTATTTAATCAACACAATTTTTATGGTATGTACTTCTTTGGTGTTTTTTGTTTGCTTGTTTACTGATTTGCTGATTACTGCCTTCCCTACTGTAAAAATTCTTACTTCAGAAGAGACAGTATCTATATTAAAATTTAAAGTAAAGTGTTTTTTTTTATTTTTTATTTTATTATTATTATTATTTTTTGACAGAGTCTTGCTCTGTCGCCAGGCTGGAGTGCAGTGGCACGATCTCAGCTCACTGCAACTTCCGTCTCCCAGATTCAAGTGATTCTCCTGCCTCAGCCTACTGAGTAGCTGGGACTACAGGCATGTACCGCCACGCCTAGCTAATTTTTGTATTTTTAGTAAAGACGGGGTTTCACCATGTTGGCCAGGATGGTTTCGATTTCTTGACCTCGTGATCCACCCACCTTGGCCTCCCAAAGTGCTGGGATTACAGGCATGAGCCACTGTGCCTGGCTAAAGTAAAGTTTTTACCATAAATATTTGCAAAAGGAAAAAATCAGAACATCTTTCGTAAACATTTTACTCCTCTTCATCAAGATGGCATCCAAGAACATAGAATGTGTGTTTTTTTAAAATTTCATTTTGTAGATAATAATATAAACATAGACTAACTTCTATTTTAGTTAATACACAATATTAAACACAATAATCCTTTCTCAACACAACTTTTGATTTTATTGCCTGATTTTTACATTTTAAGTCTTAACATATAGCGAGGCAGGGCTAGTTACAAAATTTTAAGGGCCTATTGCAAAATAAAAATGTAGGGCCCCATGTTCAAAAAGTATTAAAAATTTCGAGATGGCAACAATGGAGCATTATTAAGCCAAACACAAGCCCTTCTGACTGGGGAGCCCTGTGTGGGACTCCTCCCATGAAGCTGGCATTGAGACTTCATGGCTATGATCAGTGACAGAACTCGTCTATAGTTTGCCATCAATAAATGGCACATTCTTTAGTCTGGAATTTCCCTAGCCTGCTTATAATTAATCTTAATTACTTTCAAGGTGTCTTTTCCCAGAATTTCTGTCCTGTCCTTGAAAACCAATTTTCCATTAAATTGGAACAAACTTCTTTTTTTCTTTTCTTTTCTTTTTTATTTTTAATTATACAATTTTACAGCATAGGGTAAACGACAGGCAGGCTTTCCCTGGTTTATGGCACAGGCTTTCACTCTGTCTCCCAGACAAGGGTGCAGTGGTGTAATCATGGCTCACTGCAGCCTTGACCTCCCTGAGCTCAGGTGGTCCTCCCACCTCAGCCTCCTGAGTAGCTGGGACTACAGGGACATGCCACCATGCCTGGCTAATTTTTCTATTGTTTCGTACAGATGGAGTTCCACTATGTTGCCCAGACTGGTCTCGAACTCCTGGCTCAAGAGATCAGCCAGCCTTGGCTTCCCAAAGTGTTGGAATTACAGGCGTGAGCCCCAAGTTTCTTTTCACAAAGGACTATAACTTACTTCTCCAGAAGCTTCAAGTGTGCCCAAATTGTTCATATTTTACTCCTCCATAGTAAGCTGATGTGAGTGTGGATATAAAACACTAATTCAAACCTCACCAACAACCATGAGTTATACAAATATGAAACAAGTTAGGTGGCATATAGAGAACCATAATTTAGGTGAATTTTGTGCTTTTTATAAAGCAAACTGTGTTCTACATTTTATCTTTGAATATTCAACAACTTGTTAAATTAATTTGAAGTCAGAAAAATATTATGCTAATTTGCATTTTTAACACAGGAAATTTTTTTGAAGCATAGCATCTATCTCTGCCAAGTGGAGTGCTGTATATCCTCAAAGTTGTAGGGCTCTGCACAACTCATTGCCAATCACTTATAAGCTGCTGTAAAATTGAAAATCCTCACAAAGACTTCCACCAACAAAATCTTTAATGCTGTGATTATGAAATGGGAACACCTTTAAAGTGTTTACCTCAAAAAGGAACAAAAAGAAAGAAAGAAGTAGTTACTTTGCACATTATTTTCCGAAATAAATTATCTGGCAATGTTACTGAGCTTCTCTGAAAGCTGCTTTCTCACAGCTATTAGATTTTATGCAGCCAACTACAATGAAAACAACAGGCTCAAGCACAGGAATTGAGGTAAAACGGTATTTCGTGGAAATAGGTTTTTTTGTTATTTTTAAATTATAAAATGTAACAATTGACTTAAAAGTAACATTTTAAGATAAATTCTATTGCACCTATATAGAAACGCCTCTTACTATAGTTATATACAATGCTCACACTACATTCTAATATAAGAAAGCAATGCCAAACAAATCAAATTGCCTTTAAAAATAAAGGGATTGATTATTTCACTTCAAATAGACTAGAGATAAGGCAGACCTCAAGCCAAGTGAATTAGAGATTCAGTTCTGGTTTTCTGTGAATCTCTAGGGTTTGCCTTCCTCCATGATTGTTATGAGATGGTTGTAGGAGTTCCAGGAATTAACGTTAAGGGCACCAGAAGAAGGATAGAGGCCATTTCCTTTATCTTCAGTGTCTCCTAATTGGAGCAAAGGAACTTTTCCCAGAAGTCTTCCAGCACAATTTCTAAATGGAATCAGATACAGATTCCTAAAATCAGTCACTGGAAAAATAAAGCTAATCATTTACATTGATGAATCTATCAATCTGCTTTCTCTGGTTTATGCTGCAGTTTAAGTTTGAAATCTTTCTGGGGCACCAAAAAAAAAAAAAAAAAATTCCCCTTACACAGCGAATGGCAATCCTGGCTTAGTTTTAACTCTGCCTGACATCATTTGCGGGCCAGGACTAAAGCTTGAGGAGCGGCATACATATAGGAAAGGGCAGAGTAAAAAGAATTAGTGGGGCCACACAACGACTCTTAAATCAGAAATGCACACTTCAGTTTATTTTCCAAATCCTGTCACATGCCTAGGCCTGACATCAATAGGGCAGGCAATAATTCTTCCTCCAAGAGGGATCCCAGAAAGGGGCTCAACTGGAAAGACTACTAATAATTTGAGAACAAGACAATATACCACAAATAGTTATTACATCCATATCTTGGAGATATTGTGCGTCCAGTTCCAGATAACCTCAAAAAAGCAGATATCACAATAAAACAAGTCACATAAAGTTTTTTTTTGTTTTCCCAGTGCAGATGAAAGTTTTGTTTACATTATACTGTAAACTATTTTTTTTTTTTCTTTTTGAGACGGAGTCTTGCCCCATTTCCCAGGCTGGAGTTCAATGGCGCAATCTGGGCTCACTGCAACCTCTGCCTCCTGGGTTCAAACAATTCTCCTGCCTCAGCCTCCCGAGTAGCTGGAATTACAGGCTCTCACCACCATGCCCAACTAATTTTTGTACTTTCAGTAGAGACGGGGTTTCACCATGTTGGCCAAGCTGGTCTCGAACTCCTGACCTTGTGATTTGCCCACCTTGGCCTCTCAAAGCGCTGGGATTACAGGCGTGAGCCACCACGCCAGACCCTATACTGTAGACTATTAAGTATTCAATAGCATTATGTCTAAACAAACAATGTACATACCTTAATTTAAAAAATACTTCATTGCTAAAAAGTCAATCATCTGAGCCTTCAGCTATTCGTGATCTTTTTGCTGGTAGAGTGTCTTTCTCAGTTTTGATGGCTGCTGACTGATCAACGCAGTGGTCGCTGAAGGTTGGGGTGACTGTGGCAATTTCTTAAAAACGGACAGAAATGAAGTTTGCCACATCAATTAGCTCTTTCTTTCATGAAAGATTTCTCCGTAGCATATGATGCTGTTTGACAGCATTTTACCCATAGTAAAACTTCTTTCAAAATTGGAGTCAATCCTCTCAAACCTTGTTGTAGCTTTATCAATTAAGTTTATGTAATATTCTACATCTTTTGTTGTTAATTCCAACAATTCTCATAACAGCTTCACCAGGAATAGTTTCCATTTTGAGAAACCACTTTTCCCCCTCATTCATAAGAAGCAACCCCTCACCCATTAAAGTTTTATCATGAGATTGCAGCAATTCAATTACATCTTCAGGCTCCACTTCAAATTCCAGTTGTTTGAATATTTCTACCACATCTTAAGTTACTCCCTTTGCTGGAAACTTGAACCCTTTAAAATTATCCACATGGATTGGAATCAACTTCTTCCAAACTCCTATTGTAGTTGATATTTTGACTTTCTCCCACAAATCACCAATGTTCTTAAGGCATCTAGAATGGTGAATCCTTTCCAATAGATTTTAAATTTAGTTTTCCCATATTCATCAGAGAAATTACTCTCTGTGGAACATACAGTCTTCTGAAATGCATCTTATAAATAATAAAACTTGAAAGTCTAAATTATTCCTTGATTCACTGTTAGCAGGCATGAAAGCAACATTAATCTACTGGTACATTTCCATCAGAGCTCTTAGGTGACCAGGTGCATTTTCAAAGAGCATTAATATTTGGAAAAAAAATCTTTTTTTTCTTTTTTTTATTAGTATGTTTCAACAATGGAGTTAACATATTTAGTAAACCATGCTATAAACAGATGTGCTGTGATCTGGGTTTCGTTGTTCCATTTATAATGCACAGGCAGAGTAGATTTAGCACAATTTTTAAGGGTTCTGGGGTTTTCAGAATGATAAATCAGTATTCACTTCAATTTAAAGTCAGCAGTTGCATCAGCCTCTAACAAAAAAAATCAGCCTTACCTTTGAATTTTGAACCCAGACTTTGACTTTTCCACTCTAGCTATAAAAGTCCCAGATGGCAACTTCTTCCAATATGAGGCTGTTTTATGTACAGTAAAAATCTAATATTTAATGGAGCCACCTTCATCAATTATCTTAGCAACATCTTTTGGATAACTTGCTGCAACTTTTCCATCAGCACCTATTGCTTCACCTGCATTCTTTGTTATGGAAATGGCTTATTCCCTTACCTCATAAAACAAACTTGCTAGGCTTCAACTTGTCTTTTGTAGCTTCCTCACCCCTCTCAGCCTTCAGAGGATTAAAACAAAAGTTAAGTTTTTGCTCCACATTAGACTTTAGTTTAAGGGAATGTTGTGGATGGTTTGATTTTCTATTCAGACCACTAAAACTTTCCCCATGTCAGCAAAAAGGCTGTTTCACTTTCTTATCATTTGTGTACTCACTGGAGACATACACACGCACACACACACACACACACACACACATATATTTTTAAGCTTCAGGAGTTTTTTTATTTTTCTTGTTTTAACTTTTATTTTAGGTTCCAGGATATGT
Organism: Homo sapiens; assembly: GCF_000001405.40. Classification (NCBI taxonomy): domain Eukaryota; kingdom Metazoa; phylum Chordata; class Mammalia; order Primates; family Hominidae; genus Homo; species Homo sapiens. The sequence goes on from NC_000004.12 coordinate 135,498,111, forward strand.
GTGCAGGTTTGCCATGTAAGTAAATTGTGTTTCATGAGGGTTTGGTGCACATACAATTTTGTTACCCAGGTAATAAGCATAGTACTCAATAAGTATTTTCTTGATGCCTTCCCACCTCCTATCCTTCACTCTCAAGTAGGCCCCAGTGTCTGTGGTTCTCCTTCTAGTATCCATGTGTTCTTGTTGGTTAGCACCCACTTATAAGTGAGAACATGTAGTATTTGGTCTTTTGTTCTTGTGTTAGTTTGCTTAGGATAATGGCCTCCAGTTCCACCCATGTTGCTGCAAAGGACATGGTCTCATTCTTTTATATGGCAGTATAGTATTCCTTGGTGTATATGTACTATGTTTTCTTTATCCAGTGTACCACTGATGGACATTTAGGTTGATTCCATGTCTTTGCTATTGTGAATTGTGCTGAAGTGAACATATGTGTGCATGTGTCTTTATGGTAGAATGATTTATATTCCTTTGGGTACATACCTAATAATGGGATTGCTGGGTCAAATGTTAATTTTTTTCTGAGATCTTTGAGGAACCGCCACACTGCTTTCCACAATGGCTGAACTAATTAATAAGTACTTTTAATGTTTTACTAGAACTTTTTCTTTTCATTCACAACTTGGCTAATGGTTTGGCACAAGAGGCATAGCTTTTCACCTATATTGGCTTTAGGCATGCCTTCCTCACCAGGTTTAATCATGTCTAGCTTTTGATTAAAGTAATACATGTACAACTCTTCATTTTATTTGAATATTTATTGGCCATTCTAAGATTACTAATTTGCCTAATTTTAATAGTGTTGTATCTCTGGGAATAGGAAGGCCCAAGAAAAAGGGGAAAGACAGAGAAATGGCCAGTCATTGAAGCAATAACAATACACAACATTTATCGATTAAGTTTGCCATCTTATGTGGAGGCAATTCATGACGCCTCAGAACAATTACAATAGTAATATCAAACATTATTGATCACAGATCACCATAACCAATATATTAATAATAAAAATGTGTGAAATATTGCACAAATTACCAAAATGTGACACAGAGACAAAAAATGGGCACATGCCATTGAAAAAAAAATGACACCAATATAGTTGTTCAACACGGGGTTGCCGCAGACCTTCAATTTCTAAATGATGTAATATCTACAAAGTGCAATACACTGATGCATAATAAAATGAGGTGTGCCTGTATGCTTCACATTTGGTGTGTCTTCATCATCATTTATTGTCATTCTTCTACGTAACTACTCTTTTGTAGGATAAAATGTAGCACTATAAAAAGGGGTAATTTGAGGTCTATTTACAAACTATTAAGATAATATAACAATTCAACTGTTTTTGTGGAAACATTGAGAAAAGTGATGATTTTACCTTAGACCCAAGTACGGGAAATTGAGCTATTTATAACTGCCTATTTCTAAAGTTTCTTAACTTTTACAAGCATTCTCTCTAGGTTATCAACTTTGAATGTAATAATTATTTTTTTGAATTTTTTTGTTTAAAGTAATCACAAATACCTAGGAATGTTCCTGGTAGATATCAGTTTCATATTGCTAGCTGTTGATCATAATTTTAAAAGTATTTTAAAAGTAAAAATTAGCTTGTGTTGTTTACCAAAGTTGTACATGTTTTCTTTTTCATAAAATGTTGTTATATTTTATAATTGATTCTACTAAGAGATATCTTCTAGTTAGTAAACCATTTTATTTAACTCCATTTTCTTCATTAAAATATTTACATTCATGAATTTGTGTACTATCAAGATAAGGAAAGAAGGAAAGTCTTTATGTTTTTTAAATTATATTACTGTCATCTAGAAAATCATATGATGTACATGACATCTAAATAATGAAAATGACTGAAAACCATCAGCCATACTAGAAAGGTTTCCATAGGACAAGAAAAAAACAGAGTATGTGTCCTAGCAGTTTTAGTTTAGGCACCAGTCTTCAACTTTGAGCAAAACTCATGGTGTGAGATCATTCCTGCTTTTATTCCATTTGCATAAAGTCCCAATAAGCATCAGAACATTTTCCTAAGAACTCTTTCAGCAAGTCTTCTAGTTTGTCAGGTGGTCAAACTTCACTACACCTAAGTGATAAACAGCAGAAAAGAAAGAAAAAGGGGAGACAACTGAAAGCACACGTGGTTTTCCAAACTGGTGGCTCCCTATCATGTGTGCTTTGGTACCTTTTGTCTCAAGGAGTGACATAGAGTACGAGATATCTCATAATTAATTTATGCAGTATACCCAATTTTTAAGGGGACAGGTAACTTTCAGGACTAGTGTGTGAGAATAAACTCCAAGAAACATCATCTACATTAAGTATTTTTCCCCAAATGTTGTCATCCAGTTTCAATTATCTGTGAGTTTCAATTTTAAAATAATTAAGCATGTGATAATATAAGTTAGCAAACTTTGTTTAGTGGGACATCTCTTGCTGGGAGAATTAATGGTAATTAAGACATTTCCCTCCCAAATAATCATAACTAGGTCTCACAGAAATTTCGGACTGGAAGATGGGAACATGCAGAAAGCAAAGTTGCCTGCTTGTTCTTACTCTCCCTGCAAGTTTGTTTCCTTTATTTATCTCTGCACATTTTCTTTCTTGGCAAACTGAGTTGCCTATTTAGATCTTCTCACATATGCCCTCAAACAGTAGTTTTAGATCCTTAGTCTACATGATTTGTTTCAGTCTAGAACCTATAGCATTCAAATACATTTTCTTCATCCATAGTTAGAATATTTAAGACAGGAAACAGATTAAGATCTAAAAAATAAAAAAAAGATAGTTAAAAATTGTTTTAGGGGATAATTACCTGATGTACATCTTCATTTTTATCACATTCTAAGCTTCATTTCTATATTTAAATGCCTCCTAAACATATTCACATGGATCTGTTACCATTCTCTTAAAAACTAATCTTGTGATAGCTCCCCCCCAAAATAGCTATGCCTTCTGTCCCTTCATACAGACTCAATAATAATGATGCATTCAAGATAGTGATTTGTGTTCATACTTATTTTAAACTTTTTCTTCTTCCAATGTTATTAGAATCTGCATGAATATATTACATTTTAAATTGAGTAACCCTTATTTTATGTCTAGTCGTGGAGATTATAGTACTCTTTAATAGACCATCTTGTTTAGGGAATAAATTCTTGAGTGCTTCCTCTTACTTAGGAAATCTTAGGGTGAGTGGGCAGCTTTAACTATGGAATCACAGGGCAAAATAATAAAGAAAAGTTCTTTGATATATTTGGGATCCCACAAACTATCACAACTTTCTGTGTAAATAACTGGAAAAGTTTAAGTCATATGATAATATTTTTACTCTAAGATTGTGAAACAGTTTTTTTGAAGGGTCTTAATTCAGAATGTTTACAAATCCTCATTGCCTAAATGCAAACTGTAGTACTGGAGCATTCTGATACTAGAAAAGTGAAATGTGCTATTGGCTAACTTTTGTACAAGAATGTACAAAATGTATCACTTATTTTAGAAATATAAGCCAACTTTGAGGAGACTTAGATCTAAAAGATCTTAGAGGATATTATAAAATTTATTATCAAAAACATACGCACCAGCCTAATATTTCACATCAAGAAAGTATATACATGGAAACTTACTGACATATGAATGAAACATCACACATAGAGAAAACAGATTAATTAAAGTTGATTTGAAAAACCTGCCTCTCTGCCTCAGTTTCTATTTTTAAATGGAAAAAATAGGCATATAGTTCGTTTTGCAAGTCTAAGTGCAACTAACTTGTTCAGCTACTAAACAAGTTAAGACATTGACTACACATGGACACAAATAAGGGAACAATAACACTGGAGCCTGCTTGAGGGTGGAGGGAGGGAGGGGAGTGAGGATTGAAACCACTTCTCCAGCATTATGCCAGTTACCTGGCTGACAAAATTATCTGTACATCAAACCCCTACGACACACAATTTACCCATGTAACAAACCTGCACAGGTACTGCTTGAACCCAAAATAAAAGTTAGAAAGGAAAAAAGAAAGTTAAGAAAGCCTGCTGAAATAATAAGGCAACAGAAATCTAGAGGGTTTTATGGTATTTTATGTAAAATATGTTTACATTTTTCCTGGTGTTCTTTCCTGAAATGACATAAGAGCATCAGACATCTGAAAGTCAGTGTATATATGTGTATAATCTGAATCTTAAATTCATGTGGAAGTGCAAAAGAACTAGAAAAGCCAAGGCAACATTGGAGAAGAAAAGTAAAATCAAAAGACCTGCATCAACAGATTTCATGATCTATTATGAAATTACCATAATTTAGATAGTGTCTATTATTATGGGTTAGAAAAATAGACCAACAGAATGTAACAGAGACCTACACATATATTCACCTCGTTTCAAACAAAGTCACAGTGAATTTCAATATAAAAGTATTTTCAATGAATGATAGTTTGTTAATTATCTACCCAAAATGAAAATACAAAATGAGAATTTGACCCCAATCTTATAAAAAATTATTCAAGATGTTTAAAGACTTAAAAGCTAAACCAATCAAGCTTTTAGAAAAAGTATACTATAATGTTATCATAATCTTAGAAGAGAATATAAAAAAGTTAACCATAAAAGTAATAAATCAGACTTAATTAAAATTGACTTTAAAAGATATTTTTATCCACATATATCACAAAATAATTATATCCAGAAAACACCATCAGCTCTTGAAAATCAACAAGAAAATCACAAAGACAACTTAATTAAAGGATTGCCAAAAATGTCATTTTCAATAGAAGAATGCACATTAAATCCCAGCAAAATATTATTAGACACCCATCAGAATGTCTAAAAATGAAAAAGACCATACAAATGTTGAGAAGAATGTGGAGCAGGTGAACCTATCTTATATTTTGAGTGAGAGCATTTGGAAAATGTTTAGCAGAATGAACTAAATGTGTATAAATGTTGAAATGTCAGTTGAAAGTCTGGCATTACTTAACATCTGTATTAGTCCATTTTCACATTGCTATAAAGAACTGCCCGAGACGGGGTAATTTATAAAGGAAACAGGTTTAATTGACTCACAGTTCAGCATGGCTGGGGAGGCCTCAGGAAACTTGCAATCATGGTGGAAGGAGAAGGGGAAACAAGGTGCCTTCTTTACAAGGTGGCAAGAAGGAGAATGAGCACAAGAGGAACTGCCAAACATTTATAAAATCATCTGATTTCATGAGAACTCACTTCCTATCATAAGAACAGCATGGGGAAAACTGGCCCCATGATTCAATTACCTCTACCTGGTCTCTCCCTTGACATGTGGAGATTATGGCATTATGGGAATTACAATTCAAGATGAAATTTTTGGTGGGGACACAGCTAAACCATATCAAGTTCAGGACTTGCTATAAAGTTATAACGATCAAGAATGCATGCTATTGGTGAAATAATATATATCAATCAATAGAACAGTAGTCAGAGCAGAAATAGATACAAACAAACAGAGTCCGATTTTTGAAAGAGGAGCAAAGGCAATTCAATGGAAAAAGAATAGTCTTTTTAACAAAGGGTGTTTGAACAAATGAATGTACATATGCCAAAAAAAATGCAAGTAAGAAAAAGTAAAACAAAACAAAAATCAGAGTCTATATGCAGACCTTATATCTTTTAAAACATTAACTTAAAATAGATCATAGACCTAATGTAAAATGCAAAACTATAAAGCTTCTAAAAAATAATATAACATAAAATCTAAGTGACCTTGAGTCACTTGGCAATTAGTTACTATATACAACATCAAATGCACAATTCATGAAAAAAATGTTTAGTTAAATTCAACTAAAAGTCTGCCAAAAGTAATGTTAAGAAAATAAAAAGAGAAGCCACAGATTGGGCCAAAATGCTTGAAAAACACATATCTGATAGAGGCATTGTATCCAAAATATACAAAGAACAACTAAAATTCAACAATAAGAAAGTGTACAACCCAATGAAAAAATAAGCAAAAGTTCTGAAAGATACTTCTCACTAAATAATAACATGTCAAGTAATATAAAAATATGTTCATTCTTTTATATTAGGGAATTAAATATTTGCAAATTAAAACAACAATGAGATATTACTACATATCCATTAGAATTACTAAAATCCAAAAAACTGACAAACCAAATGTTAGGGAGAATCAAAGCAACAGGAACTCTTGTTCATTGCTGATAGAAACGCTTTGAAAGACTGGCAGCTTCTTCCAAAGCTAATCATGGTATTACCCCATGATCCTACAATCATACTTCTAGGTATTTACCCTTGAAAACTTATGCTCACACACAAAAACTTTCCCACGAACATATGCAATGACTTGTTCATAACTGACAGAAACTGGAAACAGTGAAGATGTCCTCCAATAGGTAAATGGATAAACAAATAGTGGTGCACCCATACAATAGAATATCATTCACTGAAAAAAAGAAACGTGACATATAAAGTCACTTACTGACATATTTTAAAAAATATATGTAAATCATACCTTAACTAAAAGGGAGACCTCCACCCTTTCTTTTCCAAGTCCATCTTCATACTCTGTTCTGCTTTCCCCAAACCAAGCTTATTCAAAGTGTCACATGTATAGCTCGCATTCTTCCCTGTCATTCCCTCTTTAGTCCCTGGTAATCTCTTAGGCTTTCATGAAAAGGCTCTAATAAAGACTACCATAGTTTGTTTATAAAGCCAAGGAACTCTTTTCAGACTCCATCTTACAGGGCCTAGAGGCAGGAACTGATGTATTGCTGAACACAGTCTCCTAATCGAAATTCTATTTCCCTTTGCTACTTCCTGTATGCAAAGAGTTTATAACAATGTATATTTCATTGTGACATTTTTGAGATAAATTAATCTTGTAAGATCTACATGTAGAGCTGTGCCTGGAACTTAGAAAATGTTACTAAAATGATGATTAAATTGGAGAGAGAGAGAGATAAAAGAAAAATAAGGATATCCATCATCCATTCACTGACTTTGGGAGTATAACTTCATACATCTAAGGGAGTCAAGGATGTGTATAAATTTCCTAAAGTCTCATTACTAAGTACATATGTGAGTAATGTCCACGCAGGTATACCAGAATCTATGTACAAAATGTTTATAGAAGTATTGTACATAATAGCCACAAATGGGAACAACCCTTGTCTCTATCAAAAGAGAAAGAATAAATAATACTAGAAAACTGGAATACTACATAAGAATGAAAATGAACATAATGCAGTCTTCAACTTGGATTATGCTAAAAACATAAGGTTGAGTAAAAGTGTTAAGTCCCAGAAAAATACAGATGACTCATAGTTTCTAATTTATACATTTTTTCTGTTTTTTCTAACATGTAATAAATATCTCTTTTACATAATTTAAAATATGATGATAGTAAACTCACAAATCAGCTTTCCCTTTCTTTTGCTCTCCTTGGCACAGTATATTATTTTACTTTTAATAATGTCGGGAGAATGCATGTGTATTAAGAAGATAAAAGAATAGATCTTGTGCAAGTATCTACCTAGCAAAGATAAGAGGAGACATAAATATAATTCACTAAACCACACTGTATGGTTCAATAGCATGACATTGAACACTAAAGATTTGAATATAGATTTATGTATTATGCCATATTATACTTCTCATATTTTCCTTGTTTGTCCTTCCTAAAACGACATGAACTTTAGGCTCAAGAGACCTAAGCTTGAATGCAAGAACATCTATTCTTTTCACAAAGAGACAAATAAATAGGCTATTGTATTAGTTCGTTCTCACATTGCTACAAACAACTACCTGAGACTGGACAATTTATGAAGAAAAGAGGTTTAATTGGCTTACAGTTCTGCAGGCTGTACAGGAAGCATGGTGGGGGAGACCTCAGGAAACTTACAATCATGACAGAAGGCCAAGAGGAAGGAATCACATCTTATATGACTAGAGGAGGAAGAAGAGAGAGAAGGGGGAGGTGCCACACACTTTTAAACAACCAGATCTCATGAGAACTCATTCACTATCATTTGAAAAGCAAAGGGGAAATACGCCCTATGGTTCAATCACCTTCTACGAGGCCCCTCCTTTAACATTGGGGATTACAATTCAACATGAAATTTGGACCGGGACAAAAACTCAACCCATATCAGCTATCAAGCCCATAGAACTTAATATTCTAGAATGAATAGGGGTGGGCAAAGTACAGCCCACAGGCTAAATATTGCCTATTACATCTATTCAATGATTTGTCCACTGAAAGACATATGTAATATTAAGTTTTTCCTGGAAATCCATTTTATGGGAATGATCTGTCAAAAAAAAAAAGACATTTTACTAGACTTTAATTTCTTGAAGTTTTATATTTTACAGTCTCATCCTTTGGATAATAAATAGTATTTATATTGGTGATTTATTAAAATAAGTATTTCTTAGTGGAAGAACTTCGGGGAACTCAGCACTGGGGAGGTTATACAAGTTTTCTTATTTTTAGCGTGCCATTTTCTGAATTCTCAAACGGGTATATTGTGCAAAGCACAGAAAATTTGTAATGGAAGTGAAAGTCTGTGGAGGATTCACTGATTTTCATTCTTTCAAACAGAAAGAGCATACAGCCAATTAGTAAAATCCTTAATTGTTACAAATATAATTATTGCTTTGGTTACCCCAATTTAGGAAAATATGTCATCTGATGATGCACCTTTTCCTTAAGTGATTGTCATTTAATAAGGCATCAGCAAGGATATCTAATCAGTTAATATGCCTTGTTTACTAATAGAATTGTTCACTGTCAAGAAAACTCACTTAACAAAATTGTATGCCTACAAAATTTTGATTTATGTAGAATCATATGATTTGTTGCAAAATTCATCTAGAATTTATTCTAGCTAGGGTTGTACAGAAGAGAATGTCTTCATTCTTTAAATGTTTAACTTCTAGCCTATTATCCTGGAATAGATGAACATTAGACCTTTGCTTTTTCAGCTTTCATAACAAAAATGACTTTAATGCCACATTCTTTTCTGTACAAAGATAAAACTTGCACCCTCTTAATATGTTTCTTCCCTTCTTATGCAGTTACTTTGTTTGGCAGGAAATGAGCTCACATTTCTCTCTGCTGAAGAAAGCAATTTGTGAATCATATACAGTTTGAGAAAAGCATCACCTTATTCAAAAGATAAATCATATGATATTGTTATGCTGAATGAATAAGAAAGCATGGATTGAGAATAGATTGGATGATTGCATTATAAAGACATCAAAGTAAACTGATCTGAAGGGTGCACTGTGAATAGACTGAAATTTAAAGATATTTTATTGCTACCTAAGTCTATGGGAATCTAATGAACAAATAAATGCTGATTTTCTATTGCAGACTTTCTCAAAGACTAAGAAATAATATTAGCCTCATTTTAGAAAGTCGATTATATTTATTGCCCTCATTACATATATAGAATAATGAGCTCAACTAAATAATTTTTACAGGTAAGGTTTGTTTTAAAATCTTTTCACTTTACTCAGCAAGTAATTAAATAAAAATTATTTCATTTTTAAAACTTAAATATCATATTACTTTCTTGCTGTAACAAGTTAACACAAACTGGGTGCTTAGAAGAAAAGAAAGTTGTTGTCTCACAGTTCTGGAGGCCAGAAGTCTGAAATGAAGACATCAGTAAGTCCATGCTTTCTCTGAAGATTCTGGGGAAGGATCTGTTCCAGGCTTCTCTTAGCTTCTGGTAGTTCCTTTGCTTGTGGCAGCATAACTCCACTCTTTACATGGTATTCTCCCTGTGTGCTTGTCTGTGTCTGCATCCAAATTTTCCCCTTTTTAAAAAAAACAGCAGTCATATTACATTAGGGTGCACCCTGTTGACCTCATTTTAACTCTCTTACCTCTGTAAAATTCCTATCTTCAAATAAAATCACATTCTGAGGTACTGGTGGTTAGTAGTCCAAAGTAATGTTTTGCTGGGGAGGGACACAATTCAATCCTAGTAAGTATTGCTTTTTCCTTCTAGTTATCACATTGTAATTGGTCCCAAGTTTCGTGGCAATCATGAGCAAGTTTGCTCACTTTTTTTTAAAGTTGAAATTTCAGTGACGTCACCAAAGAACCCTGGTCCATTCTGTGTGAACACTCTGCCACCTTTATTCTATTGACTTTTGATTTTCACCATGATTTTGTATGGTAACTCTATGGTTTCTATAACTATAGTAAATATGCACTTTAAGAAAGTAAAACAGTGAAGACAGCTTCAATTTATTTTACCAGGAAAGCAAAGTCCTCCCCATGTCCTCCCATCACAGATTCTTGTAAATCCAGTGGCCAGGATCTAGCAAATGAGCTGAAGACAACTCAATGATTAGAAATCATGAGTCATTTCCCGCCTTTGAGCACACTGACCTCTTAAGAAAATCAAGTTTCTCCTATAAAGGAAGAACGTAGGGTGTGTCTGTTGAGTCAGCAACTCAGAGTATCTACCCACTCTGAAATAGTTGTAACAATGAGAATTTGATGGAGTCTGGTGAAATTGGTAATCCTTTTTATTGTTTCCTATACTTCCATTTGGGAATTAAGAAATGAACACAAAAAGTAGATATTGAGACCTGAGTGTATTATTCTAATTTTTTTAATACAATTTATTTTTATAGTAATTATCTCATCAGTTACATATTTAAATTATATTAAGATTTACAAGATATTAACATGCATGGAATTGTGTGGGGGTGCTATTAATTGCAAAATAGCATACTTTTTTCCCTAAGTATATTATGATGATAAATTGAAATGTATGTTCTCTCGTTCTTTTTTTTTTTTTTTTTTTTTTTTTTTTATATGGAGTTGCTCTGTCGCCCAGTGGCGCGATCTCGGCTCACTGCAACCTCCGCCTTCTGGGTTTCAATGATTCTCCTGCCTCAGGCTCCGGAGTAGCTAGGATTACTGGCGTTTGCCACTACGCCCAGCTAATTTCTTACCTTTAGTAGAGACGGGTTTCACCATGTTGGCCAAGCTGGTCTCCAACTCCTGACCTCATGATCCACCCGCCTCAGCCACCCAAAGTGCTGGGATTACAGGCGTGAGCCACCGCCCTCGGCCTAAGTGTACGTTCTTTTAATGATGAATCTTAATATGGCTCATTTCTTCTAATATATAGAAAATCTAATTGTTTAAATGTTGTACAGAGAAGTTAAATGTCTGAAGCAAAAATTTTTTCAATTTATTATTTAACAAAGCTGTGGAAAATTTCTCAGTCTAGTTCTCCACTCCTATAAATAAACAGAGGAAAATTTGTTTTGTATATTGGGAAGTTTATTCTAATGATTTCATATAGAACACAATTGTTACACTGACATTTCTACGTACTAGGTAGATTTTTTTCTTTTTTTTGTTAAATTATCTGGGTAAGAAAATATATTTATGTTTACTTTTTGTCAGGATGGAACTGAAAAAAAAAAACAACTTTAAAGTTAAAACAAAACCGTCAGATGGCTACATGCTAGATACCAAGCAGAGTGAATCCCTTCAGAGCAGAAAGAAGTAAAAATAAATGGCCTTAAACTTAAACACTATTGTTGGAAAGAGAACTTAATGAAAACAGTGAATCACAAATAAGATGTCTTGAGGGTAGTAAAATGTCTAAGATAACTTAGTGCTTGTAACTTTGCCTTATATTATTTCATATATATCTTGTAAATGGTACTGCCTGTTCTTGGGAAAAGAGTAAGTCATACAAAAAAGAATTTTTTATACAAAGACAACATCTAGATACAATCAAACATAACATATCTAGATAGTTCAGCAATTCAATAAAATTGATTGCAAATAATTTGAAGCAAGTTGTGCAGACAGAATAATTCACAAGTGGAAATAATTTTCACAAAATATTTCTTCAAACATAAATTTGAGAAAGAGCAATGTAACATTCATTTAAAATTTTAACTATAAAAACATCACAATCAAAGTTGAAGTGAACTATCTTCTATGTGAAATATCAACAATTTTCCATAAGTCTTACCATTCACAGAAATGCTATATTTTATTTAAACAGCTAAAGCCAACATAACTATTTTAGCTAAAAAAATTTGCTACTGTAAAACAAGGAGAATTTTATCTTCTGGTATAAAAGAATTACTGTTAATATTCATTTTTGTGTTGAGTGCAGACACGTGATAGTCACAGAAAATTTTGAACCATCTCTGCTCAATAAAAACATCTACCCAATAATTCTGAGATGGCAAAATATACATAATCAGCTTAGATAGTTAATTGATAAACTTGATAAATAAACTTGATAGTTTATTAGGTAGTTTCAGCTGAAAATGCTGTTTTCCAAAAATTGCCCCTTGCCTGTGCTATTTCAAACCTTTGATTTGCACCAAGACTTTGTCCTCTTAATACTTAAATTCTGTCATCTTCTGGTTATGTTGTTTATTAAAACTTAGTCCAATATGCTTTAAAACTCTAATCTCAGATCCAGTTCAGAGTTTATTTACTCCCATTTTCACAGCACAGCCATTGCAGAAATGGAGGAGAGGACCCTTAACTGGCCCTGAGACACCAGATCCACCCAGATTCCACGGTGTGGGGCACAAAAGGGGAAAGAGAATACAAAGATCCTCTTGCATACATAACCAGTCATACCTTGCTCAAGGAAGATGCCCTTATCCCATATCCATTGTAGTCAGTTTCACTTTCTGATGCTTGTTGCTTCTCTAGATGTTGTGGGTTCCCTATAGGAGTGTGCAGCCCATGTGATTAGGGTGCAAAACAAGATTACACAGAAGCTCAATTATGGGCTAATGTTGTCCCCCACTGTTCCCTAAACAAATTTTTCCATAGGGGAATTTCTTCCTGTGCTTCTTGATGATAAACTGGGAAGTTCCATGATTAAGCAGTGTCATAGTTATTTTACAATAATTCCCATGTAATAAATACCCTATATTTTCTTCAAGTCACTCAGCATAATCTTTGTTGTTGTTGTTGATGGTGGTGGTTCTGATGTGTTTGGGGAGGAATGGATGGGAAGTTGGTGTAGCAGTGGATAAAGATGGTAGGGCCTCTTCTGCTTTTTATAAGCATGGATAAGGCAGTGCTCGGGGGTAGACTCTGGCTCTATTTTTGGAGCCTGTTTAACAGCTCTTTTTAGGGTGTGAGTATTAAGTACCCTTATTCTCTGCCTTGTATCTTAACTGCAATTCCAAGGATAGTGGATACATCCAAATACTTTTCCTTACATATAAATGAGTTACTTATGTTTTGGGGTGGCAAAAGGAACTAAGGTCAGTCTTTTTGTGTTGTTGTTCTGTTTTCTCCTACTCTACAATATACTATGCTTCTCTTTCATTATCTTATTTGAAAAAGTGTTTTGAAGGTTCTCACAAATTGAAAAATGGAGTAATCTTAAAAATCTGGACTACTGTTCCACATTCTCACCCCAAATTTTGGAAAATTTTATCTATGTTCCCTTTCTAGCAATTTGTCTGAAAATTATTCATGATACATTCTTATATATATAACTATAATTAATATAATTATCAGGAAGCATTAATCATCTTTATTCCATTTTTTTTGTAGCTACCTAATTATTATGCTTCATTACTTGTAATACTATTTAAAATTGGAGCTCAATCAAACTGTTACATGATCATTAGAAAATACACCGCATGGAGCCTTAGGTTATTTTGTCTTCAAACCATTATGTTGATGGTTCTAGGTTAAATATATTCTTATTACATTTCTTTATATTTTATATTCTTCTTAAGAAAATATATTTAGTAAATTCTTCCTTTATCTTTGTTTAGCTGGTGTGAAGAATATTGCCAGGTCTGAGATTTTTCCTCCACCTAGATCCTCTGTTGTAAGACAGAAAGGGATAAAAGGAAAGGCAAAGATCTTCTTACATAGCCAGGAATACATCAACTATATTTGAACCAGCCAAGGTTTAACAAGTTTTTTCTCTTTGTTTAAAAAAGTTCCTAAAATTCTTTCACTTATTAGTTTATTGGAAAGTCTTAACTCAAAGATGTGTCATGAAAATATATTTTTCTAGAGAGCATTTTTCAGCAGTGCTAGTTTGAACTCCTCATTCCATTACATATAGGTGACCAGAATAAAAATACCTAGGAATTATTTTTTGAAATATGTAAAAAATATGTAATCTTTAAGTATTATTATTATTATAACTCCCTATTTTAAGTAAAGTTTTAAACACTATTTTGGAGGAAAATTTTTGATCATAAGTAATTCAAAGTAGAAAACAGCTTAAAGTTATGAAAACAGACAGAACTCAGTGCAAATTATGAATTCTGGCACTGTCAGTTTGTTAGTCAAATGATCATGGCCAAGTTAAAATAGTTCTAAATTTCACATATTACAAGTGTAAAATTAAGATATCTATCTTGCAGAATGGGTATGACAAATTGAATCAATTTTTATAAATTACCTTACAAAACCTTCGTACAATTAAAGAGAATAATAAGCAAAAATTTTAAAATTGTCATTGTAAATTGTTAAGTAAGAAAATCTGAAATATTTTATAAAGCTATAAATATAATTATATAAGGTCAAAGTTCACATACAAAACACTATCAAAAAATTTTAAGAAATATTATCCTCAAATTATTACATTCAAATATTGTCTTTCAATAAACAATAATGTTTATTCATTTCTGTGACATCATATTAAATTTTTTGCTGTGTATTTATAATGCAGTTGGGAAAGTTTGATCTTACAACTCATAAAATAAGGCAATTTTAAAATTCCAAATGTTATATAAGCCATCAAGACTTGTTAAAAATACCTTCACATTCTATTTATCCATTTCATTTTTAGTGCCATCAGTAAATACAAATGTTGTCAAGCAACAAATCAGGTGAAAACAGACAGTGCAATAAAATATGTTTATATTGACTATTTGCCCTTCTGATTTCACTGCTATATAAATCTGCAAATAAAAAAACTCTGTGGAGGTAGCAGAGCACCTTACTTTATGACTGTTATTTTTATCGTGACTTTTATTAAATTTTACCAAATATTTGATGCACATAAATATTAATATGAATTTTATTTGCACTTTTAAGAGATTCTTATAGTGAAGTATATTGATTTAGATAGAATACTCAAGATGCTCATTTTATAGTATTTAGTGGATAATGAGATTAAGACTACCACTTTTAGAATAATTGTCTGTTGAGCATTGTATACATGAAGAAAATAAAAATTGATTAAAAGACATAACACAAATAATTGTGCACATAATATGGCCGTGAACTAAAAAGATACTCAAGAAGATATATTGTGAAGAGATTACTCCGATAATCTCATGACAGCCTTATTTCTGTATATTCTTGAGCACGGGGAGAAGAAGGCAATCTGATTTTAAATGATATTTCAACTTGGAAATTATAATTACTGTCTTAGAGGAAACATAAAACAAGTCCAGCATTTAAGAGAATGAATAGCCCTGTTACAGATCAGGGCCATGGATATGCAGGGTTATGTATGAAGCAAAACAAAACAAAACAAAACAAAACTTTTCTGCAGCAGTATAACTGGTGAGGAAGGTATTTTGAAGAGCAAATTAGAGGCAAGTATAATCTGTATAAATATAATATTGATAATGTTCTATTTAAAGTATTCGTTGAGGATTTACAAAAACAGACACAGAATTTTTACCAATAACTGTTGTAAATTTTCTGTTTCAAGATAATAACATTATGTGTTTAAATCATTTGATGTGAGAAATAAAATGTGGGAAATAAAAAAAGATCAACAAAATTTGGATATCACAAGAAAAAGACTCTTGGCTAGATTAGAACAGAAAGCTTTCTCTGTTACACCTGCCTAAGACTTTTCACCAATAGCTGTAAGAAATATTTATCAATACAATTCCTCTATGATTTGTAGTTCATTTTACATAGTAATTTCTATGTTAAACATGGCAATATTTATCGATTTGCGTAATAGTAACAAAATACAATTGAGGGCATTCTATGTGCCAGCTGGACAGTGTTGAAATTAACATCAATAAAATATGACATCCCAACCCTCAACGGCTTCATAGATTAAGAAGTGTATTTTTTCTTCATAGTGTGGCATTAGCCACTCTCAATAATTGTGATGTCTTATTAAAATTCTGAGTTAACAACCATCTCCAGGGGTTTAGCCCCATATGTGTTTAACTCTAGATATTGAAAAATTGTATATCTGCTGAAGATAACACAGTTACTATCAGAAAACCTTTATTTGAAAGTTTTGAACGTTTAAATGCTCCTATTTTCTGTAAAATTATTTTCCAAGGGGCAGGCATTTATATTAAGATTTTTTTTAACTGATTGGACTAAGCCAGGTATTTATACTTATAAAAAGTTTAAGTTTTTTTATCTTGAAAGATATGAAATAAACTGACCAAAAGTATAACATAAGTTATGTTTCTATCAAACCCCAAATTTAATGCATGGTAATGTTTTCATCATTTGGTTTCAGCATTTTATAAATAAATAAATAAATAAATAAACATTAAAGAGTGAACAAAAGCACCATTCCCATCACTTCTTCCATCCTCACTCTTCAGAGATAACCAGTAACCTAAAGTTGTTTTTTATGACTTTCATATATATCTTGTATTTGTTAAATCATTTATTCTTTAATATTATATGTCTCAAGAGGGAAACAGGGCAGAAATACTGGTCACAAGAAAACATTTTCCTACAGGTTTTCCATAATATGTTACTATTATGAACCAAACATGACTGCCTACAACTTGGAACGTACTATTCTAGGTTGCAAAGATAGTGAACAAAATTTTTCACCTTAAAAAATGTATAATTTATCTATATTGTATCCCTTATTATAAAATACAATAAATACGTAAATTTATAAAATAATATACAAATAATTAAATAAGGCCATTTGTTCATGAAGTACAATAAAAATGATAAAATTGATGTGGCAAGGTTATATAAAAACATTTTATATTCTGGCTTCTCTCCTAGTTTGCTCTTTCACTCATGCTCTGAGATACAATTGAAAAACAAAAACAAAAATGAACAACAACAAAAAACTATTCTTACCAAGAGACAATTCTCAAAGGTGCCTTTGGCTGGAGCATGTGTCATCAAGATTCTGGTAGCACCTTTCAGAGTGAATTTTCAACTCCTCAAAGACACAATGCTTGTAAGGAGGGAACACTGGAACTAGGGAGATGGAATAGAGAGGTGCCAGTGCCTTGCATGTGAGAGAGTAAAGAGGGATTTTAGCACTGATGTCCAGTTGCTGTGCAGAAACCACAGGAATTCTGAGCATACAGACTGCCAACAGTGGACGGCCCATCAGTCTTTGAATATGAATACCCACTGTTCTCAATATTCTTCTTAACCTGTCCTGCTCCTTAACCACTCCCATAACCTCCCATAAAGGGTGAAGGGCTTGGACATATTGGGTGGAGATGACGTCATGAAGGCAGATTCTCCCTCTATCAAAATAGCCCAAGACAGTGTGAAAACAAAACTGATAATCTGCCTTGCGTACACTTCACATTCCATAGTCAGAAAATGAAACAAAAAAGTGACACACTGAGATGAACTAAAAACAATTAGATCAGGCTGGTCGCGGTAGCTCACGCCTGTAATCACAGCACTTTGGGAAGCCGAGGCGAGCGGATCACTTGAGGTCAGGAGTTCGAGACTAGCCTGGCCAACATGGTGAAACCCCATCTCTACTAAAAATACAAAAATTAGCTGGACGTGGTGGTGCATGCCTGTAATCCCAGCTACTGGGAGGCTGAGGCAGGAGAACTGATGCAACCCGAGAGGCGGAGGTTGCAGTGAGCCGAGATCATGCCACTGCACTGTGGCCTGGGTAACAGAGCCAGACTCCATCTCAAAAAAACAGAAACAAAAACAAAAACAAAAAACAGCTAAATCACCATTTCTATTTCTGGTCTCCCTAAAAATATAAACCTTTGTATATTTCCTCTAAGCTATTAATTTCTGAACAGAACAACTTTATTCCCGACTTCTTAAATGTTAAAAATCTGGGTTTTCTTTCATCACAGAGAGAATAATTACAATCTCAAGTGGCCTTAGACATGCATAATTTTCTTTATTTAACTACCTGGTGTCTCTCTCTCTCTCTCTCTTTCTCTCTCTCTGTGTGTGTGTGTGTGTGTGTGCACGTGCACGCATGCATATCTTTCTTAATGTACTGTTATTTCTGAAGTCTAACTTTACAATGGTTTTAGAAGTCAATATCTTATTTTTGTTTTCAAAATGCTTTTCTAAATAGTTGTCAGTCTCCTGTAAGTTTAGGCAGCAATGATTTCTGAACAACTCCCCTGCTATCATATTCTTATAGCATGATGTCCAAGAGTGCCTTGAATATGTGTTGAGGAAGGGTGTGGAGTCAGAAAAAAAGAACCTTAGGCCATTGCCTGAAATGGGGTTCTATTTTTCACAACCCCTAATGTGGTGAGCAACACAGCTACTTAGGGACCTTTTAAAGTAAAAGGGATAATTTATTACAAATCTAATTTTCCTTCACTTCATAATAGTAATTCTCATCACTAAATTTTTATAAAATGATTTATTCCATATGGTTCTTATTTTATGAGAGGAAAATATTACACTTTCATAATATCCCTATATTAGTGTGACAGGGACTAAACATTTTATACATCACTTTCTCAAGGCATTTACTACTTTATAATGTACACTCTTTTGCCTACTATTCTCCTAAAGTAATGAAGTTACTTATTTCACTTTTTTTGTTGACTACGTTATATTTAAACTGAAATGAATGTTTTTGTTTTTGTTTTCTCTACCAGATCTGATCGGAAATACTGTTTTCAAAATAAGTTGTAACAAATAGGGGGCTATGAAATCTATATGCTAGATTTTGGCCAGCATTTTAAAAAATAAGATAGAATATAAAAGAATAAAACAGACTTGAAAAGATTATTTTAGATAAATTAAGTCCATTTGACTGAAAAAGAAAAGAAGATAGAGTATATTGGGTATGATGAGTATACGTAAGTTTATTACTTTTAATTTCAAATATAAAATATATAGGTATAAAAACAAACATACATATACATGCATTCCTACATTCATACATTTCTGTGTGTGATTAGGTGTGTTTGTATAAAGACAGAGAACACATAAAATGTTTTTCTTTCTATGCATTGCATTATTGTTTTCAAATTGTTTAAAGCATTTATGAAGACCAATAAAATATCTTCGACCCCAGACAAGAAAAACAATGACATACTGAGAGATAACTGTGTATCTACCTCAAAGTTAATTTACAAGTGATCAACATGAACCAATAATAACTAGAGCTACATTTAAAAAAGGAAAAAGCAAGGAAGAGGCAGGAAGGAACATATTGGTTGATTAGGAAAATGAGCAGAAAATAGTTTATGATCTTGATTCTTTCTGAAAGAAAGTCGACATGGATTATTCAAACATAAGAATAAGTCATCTATAAATCTATCTATGTCTTCTTCAAATTAATTTTCTCACCCTCAACACAGTGAAAGCAATCTCTATTCTCAAAATATCCATGCATGTCTCTGAAGCACATGTGAAGAAGATATTTTATTCCTAGGTTCACGGCCTGTTTAACCTCTTCCATTACCCATAAGCATGAGTTATATACTCTATTCCCATATTTAAAAATGGTCCATTTCATGTTCCTTTTCAATGTCATTTATAAATGCCAACCATCAGATGAATATGTGATTTATTTCATATGCATTGAGAAGTTTTGTACAGCTGATTTAAATAAAAAGTATTTCTTTGTAAGATATCTCAACCATGCAAAGCCTCTGTTTATTTGACCACTAGAATGACAATAATATTTTTTTTTTTTTTTTTGAGACAGAGTCTCGCTCTGTGGCCCAGGCCGGAGTGCAGTGGCGCGATCTCGGCTCACTGCAAGCTCCGCCTCCCAGGTTTACGCCGTTCCCCAACTCAGCCTCCTGAGTAGCTGGGACTTCAGGCGCCCGCCATCATGCCCGGCTAATTTTTTGTATTTTTAGTAGAGACGGGGGTTTCACCGTGTGAGCCAGGATGGTCTCGATCTCCTGACCTCGTGATCCGCCTGCCTCGGCCTCCCAAAGTGCTGGGATTACAGGCGTGAGCCACCGCGCCCAGCCGACAATAATAATTTTTAAACAATTCACAGCACAAGATATCTAAGAAGCTCTTTGAGATTTTGTAGATAAAATTAATACAAGTATAAGCAATATAAAAATGAATTTGTTCTTACACATGTTTCTAATTTTGTAGTTTGACTAGCATCCCTCCTCCTTTATCTGTTTCCCCCGATAATAAGGCGAAAGATGAAATAAAAAGAACTGTATCAAATTTGGACCATGCTTCTAGGAAAAATATAAAGAAGCATTTATAGCCCATGAAGGTCCTTGCAATGGAGCTTAGTTAAGAAGGAGAATCCCATAAATGCTCCTCTGCATGATTATGGTGAAGTTTGTTGTTTCAGATATGGCAATGGCAAAGACAAGGTGCTGGGTAGAGTAGGCATTTATTTCCCACATATAATTAGCTTGCATTTATTTTGAGATGATATGATTGTTTTTTATTAATGAAAGGTAATTTTTATACATTACAGAGGTGTTATTGCCTCTATAAAACTAATAAAAAATATATTGACAGTTAAGAGAATAGAATGTTCTTTGAACACCTAGCTTTGCATTAACCATGGAAGTATAATTATTCTTTCCATCAAGCTAGAGTGACAAATCAGATGATCAGAAGGGGACCTCCTGTAACTTCTGGCCAAACCTGAAAAATTTTGTTTTAAGAGGCAAAAACTGACAGAGGAAGTAATGGGATTCATGAGGAGAAAGGATTGGTTGAGGAAAGGTGAAGAAACAAATAAAGACTTAGATGGTATCCATAATCAGAAAGGGTCTTAACCTGTAGGATACCCATTTAAGTATCTGTTGTTCCATCACTGTGCAGCTAGGCTTAAATCCATCTGTTCCTTTAATAAAGTACTTCTAATAATCTCCAGTGTAGATAATAAAAGATTGCTCTGAGGGAACATGGCAAGGCAGAATGAGCAACGGAGGATGGTTCTAGGTTAAGGGAAGGGTGCTTCTAAGAAGCAGAGGGCCGGAATCATCATAACAAACTGTGGTTTAAGAGCAGAGAAGAAATTCAAGGCAGAAACAATGGTAAGAACAAATTCCTTATCACTCTATGGATTAGTAAATTTCATTATGCAGGAAAGTAAAACTGTTAATCCATGATAAAATAATCTTACATAAAAAGGAGCTGTAAAAATGATATTTCTCAAGGACTAAGGAAATGAGATGAGACTGTATTCATATTATTGTATTTAAAACAATTAAATCTCTGTAGGACATAACCTGTATGAAGAAATCACCTACACACCGTGTTTAATGTAGTTATCATAAATAACTGTGTTAATGTATGGGAACAATATATTGAGTTTGCCAAAATACCTCTTCAGTGCTTTTTTTTTTTGTAATTATAAACCTTATCTTAAGAAGATTCAATTATATTTTTGAAAATCATTTATACATTACTTTCTTCTAGTTTAAAGAGCCTTCTTAATGACTTAAAATTCTTAATAAACAATATTGCAAATATTATATAACAGAGCAACTAATTGAGAAACCATAAAAATATTTTCAAAATACAAAATTTTAGGGGTAGAGGGAAGAGTTTTGAGAAACAGGAAATTAGACTTCATCAATATTCCCTATGCAAAATGTAGAAGAAACCTTGATGGGAAGCTGTGTGGAAAATTGACAAATAATCTGTAAAAATTACAGACCCATGAGCTCATATCCAAGTTGGAAGGGAGAGAGTGGTTGCTTCCAGCAGTTTGGCCTGGCTTTAATGGATAACAGCTACTTTTATTCAGTATATGCTTTATGCAAATTTTTTTCTAAATACTTTACATGTATTAAATCATTATGTTTATACTATCCCTATAAAATGACTATTTTTTATTATAAAAATTATGCAATCAAGACACAGAGAGGTAATATAACTTACCCAAGATCACATAGCAAGTAAGTGTCAAAACTACTGATGTACTAAATGTATTAAAAGAAATCACACTAAATTAAAAATAAAATACTCTTCTCCAATTGACTTTGATTGTATATAATATATTCCTGTTTAATTGTAATGTAAAAGAGAAGTGCCTCCACACAAATATCATAATTTCTAACAATTCAGGTGATATAGACCCCAAAAATTTAATTTTATTTGTAAATGTAAAGAACTGTATTTTTTTGTGGATTCTAGTGTCATGGAGAATTTCATACATATGACTGATCTAAATTAATACAAGATTTTTGGTTTTAGGTGTTAAATTTGTATATCTATACAATTAGTTTACAATGAGATATCTTTTTATGGACAGAGAATGAGGGTGGGCTACCTCATAATAAAATAAAACTCATTTTGCCTATTTGGAAATCCTAGAAAGTTATTGAAATCACCCATCCAACCCTTAGCATTGTGAATAGGTTCACCCCAAGAGGGTTTTTTCCAAACCAAATATCCTGTGATTTATATACTATCACAAGACTTCTCTACTTAAGGGTATGACTGCAAGTTAATACATCATATGATAGAAACTTGCCATAATATAACGATTATAAATCTTTAAGGTTTCTGTTCATAAATAAAGATTTATGATCAAGAGTTACATTTTTCTTTCCTTTCATGTATAAATTAGCCTGAGGATTTTATGAATAATTCATATGAAAAATATCATCTTTCAAAGCTATGGTAACTAGGAAAGTTGCATGTGATTTTATGCAAGTATATCTATGTATATACAAAAATAACACAGGGTATAATATATATACAAATGAGGAAGCCTAACTTTAATGTTTTATGAATTTTGGAATATTTTCTTAAAATTTCTTATGTAAGAATATATCTTGTGGTCTTTTAATCAATCCTATAATGTAGAGTGATTTATGAAGTAAAAAATTTAATTTAAATACATTAAATAATGATTCATGTGGTGTATTTTTCTTTATAACACTTTATAATTTAGAAAGTTAAGCATAAACAATTTTAAAATAATATTTTCAGTTTAAGATAAGACTGCATTCTTTTAGATATTGATTCACAATGCTGCCAATTCTCCTGATGTAGAAAGAATATTAAGGAAAGCAAAGCTGTGGGAATCAGCCCAATCAACCTAATACTGCCCTCAAAAATTTCTTTGACTTGAAATTTAGGTCAGATCTGGAATACCTTTAAAACACTTATATAATGCAATAAATTCTTTATCTTTAGCAAACACATTAATATAGAGTCCAACATTCTCACTAAGTATATTAAATATTTTATACACATAAATTTAGAACACTTTAATAGAGGATAAAAATGTTAAAGAGCATGCTGATTATTTTAATTCATTCTCTGGTAAAATCCAATAAATAATATTTCTAATGTTTAGGAAATATTACAAAGTGGTGTTGCAACTAACTTTTGAGATTGCATTCCATGCAGTCTATGAGCACAAGATTTTTAATCCTTCAGAATTACATTGGAATTCTTACTTTAGCTACTGACAACATTTTTGAGCTCATTTTCTTCATTAATTAAAATTACAATAACAATAATACTTGTCCTATTGAGTTGTCAGGGATAACTGACAAAAAGTAATAAATCACTTTGCATGTGGCACAAAATAATTAGCAAATTTGTGAATATTAAAAACTAAATATTAATTATTACTATTATCTTTCTTTTTGAAAAATGTCCAAGGAAATTTTTAAGCTATTGGCAAAAATGAAAAATACATTGAACACATGTGTTTTCTTGCTATTAATAAGAACGATAATTAGAACAATAATAGCATCAATCACAGTGACAATAATTGACCTTTATTAAACAACTGGTGTGGAAAAGGTTATTACCTACCTTGTCTCAATGCATCTTTATAGCCAACTTTTGCAGTAGATTATATTGATATCCCCATTTCATAAATAAGGAAACAGAAACTTAAAGAAAACTCAGTAAAGTACAGAGGAATTAGAATTAAAACTGTGGAAGATCTCCCTTTCAAATTTGCTTTTGACAACTATACTTTAGCTCCTGCTGTAGTATACTGCTGCCTCCCACTAGTTTTCTATGTGACACACAAACACAGAGACACACACACACTGAGCTGCATTTAAGCTAAAGTGATTATATGACAATTTGAAACAGAGAAGAGCATTTCTCATTAGGATTTTTTTCAGGATTACCTATGTCGCTCTTTATCTTTTCACTTAATACCAACTCCTCACTCATACCGCTTCCTGTTCCAGTGGTAAATGCTTAAAAACACTATATGAGGAGGGTAGAGAAGAGGGAGCTCTTGATTTGTAGCTTTTGCTAATTGTAAATTTGCTAATTTACAATTTCTAGGGTGTGAACAGGCTCAGTTTCGGGCACATTGTAAATTATCAGTGAAGGTAGTTCATCAGCATAATATACTTTTATAAGACAGATTTTGCTATTCATGATTATGATATAAAGTATTTGATTAAACTTCTCAGTCATTGCAAAGTACTTCTGAAATCCAAAGTAATGAAGGAATTTAAGATCTTATAACTGTTTTGGCTGTGAACAATAAGACAATTAAATATGATGACTTCGAATTTGTATTATAATACAATCAACAAAGTGAAGAGACAGCCGACAGAAGGGGAGAAAATTATTTCAATTACCCATTTGCCAAGGAATTAATAATCAAAATATATAAGAAGTTCAAACAACTATAAAGCAAAAACTCTAATAATCCAAGCAAAAAATGGGCAAAATATTTAAATAGATATTTCTCAAGAGAAGGCATACAAATGGAAAGCAGGCATATGAAAATGTGCTCAACATCACTGATCATCAGAGAAATGCAAATGAAAACTACAATGAGATATTATCTCACCCCAGTTCAAATGGCTTTTATTCAAAAGACAGGCAATAATGAATGCTTCCAATGAAGTAAAGAAAGGGGAACTCTTGTACACTGTTGGTAAAAATGTAAATTAGAATAACCATTAGGAGAACAGTTTGGAGGTTCCTCGAAAAACTAACAATTGAGCTACCACATGACGTAACAATCCTACTGCTGAGTATACTCCCAAAAGAAAGGAAATCAGTATACTGAAGAGATGTCTGCACTCCTATGTTTGTTGCAGCACTATTTACAACAGCTAAGATTTGGAAGCAACCTAAGTGTCCGTCAACAGATGAATGGATAAAGAAAATGTGCTACGTATACACAATGGAGTAGTATTCAGCCATAAAACAACTGAGATCCTGTCATTTGCAACAACATGGATGGAACTGGATATTATTATATTAAGTGAAATAAGCCAGGCACAGAAAGAGTGGGATCTGAAAATCACCACAATTGAACTCATGGACATAGAGAGCAGAAGGATGGTTACCAGAGTCTTTCAGGGCAGTAGGGGTCTCAGAATGAGATGGGGATGATTAATGGGTATCAAAAAAATAGTCAGAAAAAATGAATAAGACCTGCTATTTGATAGCACGATAGGGTGACTGAAGTCAATAATAACTTAATTGTACATTTTAAAATAGCTAAAAGAGTGTAATTGGATGGTTTGTAACACAGAGGATAAATACTTAAGGGGATGGATACTTTGTTTTCTGGTATGTGAGTATTTCATATTACATACCTGTGTCAAAACATCTCATATACCCCATAAAAATTTAAAATAAAAAATTTTAAAAACTCAAATTTGTAATTAAATGTGAATTTACAAAAGTTACGATAGACTGTAATGTAAATACTTAATATGGCTTCCTGCTCAGCATTTACTAAGTGCTAACTCTAAAAAATGTGAACAAAGTTAAGCCAAGTGTGTTTCTCAATGCTGCTTCATTATTTAAATGTCTGCCCATAGCTGTTAGAATATTTTTATTTGCACATTAAATGCGAGTAAAGGTGATAGTGGGACTCAGAGAAGCAACACAAATTTTGACAACAGACATGTAGACAGTGCTATCCCTTACTTAAAGCACCACCCACAAATGCAAACTGATTGACCCTTCCTTGTATTGAGTACTTTGAGTTGACGAAATTCCTAACTAGTCACTTACAGAGTAAAAGTTTCAACGTACATGAAAACAAAATAATAAAATGAAAAAGGGATTATTTAATACTACTAGTGAACAATTTTACAATGATATATTAAAACGGGTCTTTGATTATTCAAATCTGAAAATTATTAACAGTTTTATTTATTTAAAAAATAAATATGAAAAAATAAATATTCATATTTTATATAGTGTGTCTCTTTTATAGATGATGGCCTGGAGAAAAATATTTCTTGATGACATTGGACGAAAATGTGGGGTCTCTGATTTCCCATATCATTCAGTAGAGGATTTTTCTCTTGCTCCAAACCCTGCAAAAACAATGATTAGTCTGCCACCAATTGAACACTTCCTTCCACATGTCAGCAAGTTTGGAATAAATTTCTATAATAATTTTTTATATTAAAAATATGAAAAGCTGCATGCTCTTGGAGATAATGTGTGCAAGGAAGAGACCATTTAAACGAAGGTGTTGTTTCCAGTTACAGATCTACTAATGTATAATAATAAAAACTAAAATTATTCTAAAATCATCAACATTTTAACACTATTAGTACCAAACCAACAATTAAAGAAATACATAAATATTTGAAAAATACTTAATCTAGTACTACTAATTTATTTATATCATATACTAGGGGATCTCAACCTGTTTTGGGCAAAAGATTTACCAAGACTACTTGTTTAGAATGAAGATTACTAGACTGACCCATGACTTCTTTGTTAGTGTGTGTGAAGTGACACTTTTTGGCAAGTGCCACAGAAGATGACGGTGCTGGTGACCCACAGTTCACACTTCAGCAAACACTGCCACCCTCCATTGCAACCATTACGGTAGAGAAAAACTGTCTTGGATAAGTGATCAAATCATGTTAAGATAAATATTCTTGAAGATTTGGTATTTGTTTCAGGACAAATACTGTTGCATGTTAAGTACTTCACTATAGAGATGACGGAAATGAGAATAACATGTAAGTGAACATCAAGGATTAGGTATTGGTTTCAATAGAAGAAAATTAGCATCTATAAATAAATAACTTCTTTGAAACCAATGAGAACAAACACACAACGTACCAGAATCTCTGGGACACAGCTAAAGCAGTGTTTAGGGGGAAATTTATAGCACTAAATGCCCACAAGAGAAAGCACGAAAGATCTAAAGTAGATACCCTAACATCACAATTAAAAGAACCAGAGAAGCAAGAGCAAACAAATTCAAAAGCTAGCAGAAGACAATAAATAACTAAGATCAGAGCAGAATTGAAGGAGATAGAGAGATGAAAAACCCTTCAAAAATTCAATGAATCCAGGAGCTGGTTTTTTGAAAAGATTAACAAAATAGATAGACCGCTAGCCAGAATAATAAAGAAGAAAAGAGAGAAGAATCAAATAGACATAATAAAAAATGATAAAGAGGATATCACCACCGATCCCACAGAAATACAAAATACCAACAGAGAATACTATAAACACCTCTACACAAATAAACTAGAAAATCTAGAAGAAACACACACCCTCCCAAGACTAAACCAGGAAGAAGTCGAATCCATGAATAGATAAATAACAAGTCTGAAATTGAGACAGTAATTAACAGACTACCAACCAAAAAAATCCCAGGACCAGACGGATTCACAGCCTAATTCTAGCAGAGCTACAAAGAGGAGCTGGTACCATTCTTTCTGAAACTATTCCAAACAATAGAGAAAGAGGGACTCCTCCGTAACTCATTTTATGAGGCCAGCATCATCCTGATACCAAAACCCGGCAGAGACACAACAACAAAAAAGAAAATTTCAGGCCAATATCCCTGATGAATATCAATGCGAAAATCCTCAATAAAATACTGGCAAACCAAATTCAGCGGCACATCAAAAAGCTTATCCATCACGATCAAGTCAGCTTCATCCCTGGGATGCAAGCCTGGTTCAACATACGCAAATCGATAAATGTAATCAATCACATAAACAGAACCAATGACAAAAACCACATGATTATCTCAATAGATGCAGAAAAGCCCTCCGATAAAATTCAACACCCGTTCATGCTAAAAACTCTCAATAAACTAGGTATTGATGGGATGTATCTCAAAATAATAGAGGTATTTATGACAAATCCACAGCCAATATCATACTGAATGGGCAAAAGCTGGAAGCATTTCATTTGAAAACCGGCACAAGACACGGATGCCCTCTCTCACCACTTTTATTCAACATAGTGTTGGAAGTTCTGGCCAGGGCAGTCAGGCAAGAGAAATAAATAAAGGGTATTCAAATAGGAAGAGAGGAAGTCAAATTGTCTCTGTTTGCAGATGATATGATTGTATATTTAGAAAACGCCATCGTCTCAGCCCAAAATCTCCTTAAGCTGATAGGCAACTTCAGCAGTGTCAGGATACAAAATCAATGTGAGAAAACACAAGCTTTCCTACACACCAATAATAGAAAAACAGAGAGCTAAATCATGAGTGAACTCCCATTCACAATTGCTACAAAGAGAATACAATACCTCGGAATACAATTTACAAGGGATGTGAAGGACCTCTTCAAGGAGAACTGCAAATCACTGCTTCAGGAAATAAGAGAAGACACAAGCAAATGGAAATTAAAAAGTCAGGAAACAACAGATGCTGGAGAGGATGTAGAGAAATAGGAACACTTTTACACTGTTGGTGGGAATGTAAATTTGTTCAACCATTGTGGAAGACAGTGTGGCGACTCCTCAAGTATTTAGAACCAGAAATACCACTTGACCCAGCAATCCCATCAATGGGTATATAGCCAAAGGATTATAAATCATTCTACTATAAAGACACTTGCACACATATGTTTATTGCAGCACTGTCCACAATAGCAAAGATTGGAACCAACCCAAATGCCCATAAATGATAGGCTGGATAAAGAAAATGTGACACATATACACCATGGAATACTATGCAGCCATAAAACAGGATGAGTTCATGTCCTTTGTAGGGACGTGGATGAAGCTGGAAATCATCATTCTCAGCAAACTAACACAGGAACAGAAAACCAAACACCACATGTTCTCACTCATAAGTGGGAGGTGAACAATGAGAACACATGGACACAGGGAGGGGACTATCACACACTGGGTCCTGTTGGGGCGTGGAGGGCTAGGGGAGGGATAGCAGTAGGAGAAATAACTAATGTAGATGACGAGTTGATGAGTGCAGCAAACCACGATGGCACGTGTATACCTATGTAACAAACCTGCACGTTCTGCACGTGTATCCCAGAACTGAAAGTATAATGTAAAAAAAAAAAAAAGAGATTTAAAGGATAACCAATTCATTCACATTCTGCAAAGATAGAAGGAGCTTATAACTAATTATTTCAAAATTTTTTGCAAGATTATATTCTACACACATGAGACTTAATCATTTTCCAAGTTAAATCACTAATTTGTATAGGCTATAATAAGTCTGCATAATACAACCTAAATATTATTCTGTAAGGTAAATACTTTATATGATATTTTAGTTGAGTGAAATTTCAAAATATGATCTTTTTCTTTGAATTATCTTTTATCATTCTTAAATGAATTACTGTGGGATTTAAAAAGCTGCCTCGTATCTTGCTAGCTTATCATATAGGCACACATCAGATACTCTTACAAAAATTGTATAGTGTGTTCTCCAGAAGCTAGTTAAATATAGCCACTGTGGAATAAGCAGTCTGTTTCAAGGTCTCTAAGACTCTTAATGGGTGAATAGCATTGCTAAGGTACATAATAGTTATTCCCAGAGGCAGAGCTACTTTTAGCTACTCAGTAAAAGTTATAAATTCAGGTCACATACATTCGTACAAAAAAAAAATTAGCAAGTGTTTCTTTTCTTGCCTTCCCCTATTGAGGTAGTAATTTTTCCTTTTTAGTAAATTTGTATTTTTAAAGAGAATAATTTCTAACTGTTAATTCAACACAACAACGAATCAAATTTTATAGTATTTCCAAGTCGACACAATGAAGGCAGATGGAAAGTACGCTCATGAACCAGAGAATTAAAAATTGTACTCTTTATATTTTTGGAAATTTAACTCCATTAAGTTACAATCACTTCGAATGATGTTTTACCTATTTACAATGTATTTTAAATCAGGAAAGGCAAAGTTCTGGAATATAAATAATTTTTAAAGTCCTGTGTACTGTATACTCGTTTTGAATATAAACTTTATTTCTTTTAAGTGAAAGACTGTCCAAATGCAAAGGCGTACCTGCCTCCACAATTTTCTATCATGTTGACACAACTTGGGCCAATTTACATTGTTTTTTTTCCAGACAGGAATATCCAGGGAATTTCAAAGAGTTCCTCAAAATAGTTCTGCACAAAAGACCTGCACACAGTAGAAGTCTAGGAAACACATAAGAGTAAAATGCAAACAAGGTGGAACTTCAGCATTTACAAAGTTCAGATTTATTTATTTCGATATTTTAAGGCTATTTGTTCCATATGAATTTTCTTGTTCTTTGATACTGAATGGAGATGGAGATCTCTATAAGGTTGTATACTAGAAATTAATCTAAGAGATTTTACCAGATGTGGAGAACATGAGAATATGCTTCTTATACCTCTGATGGCAGGTAAGTTTCTTGATCAAGGGCCCCATCCTCTGCTCTCTCTGTTGGCACTGAGAGCTGAGTCTGTTTCCTGTAGGCTGTCACCTGCCAATGCTTCACTCCCAGACCATCGTCTTTAATTCCCACCTCTCTCCCTTCACTAATCCTATACCTTCAATTATTCCACATTCAATGTGACATTAAAAACAACTGACCTTCTCATGTTTTTAAAAACTCTCCATCACCCTCCCTATGTCATTTTTTTCTTTTCTTATTCAGTGGAAATTCTGTGGTTCTTTATTTAAATAATTTTATTTGCACCCTCGGCTTTCTGTACTCCTTGGCAACTAGTTATGTCTACCTTATGGGATTTGTCAAAATGAAGAACAATCAAGAAATATGTAGGTATTACATTTATAAATTTACATAAAATAATATAAATTTCTGTCTATTAACCTATCTGTATTCACAAAAATTATCTTTATGTTTTGCCCTTAACACTTTGAAATAATAATAAAAATATAACAGAGATTATTCTTCCAATAGGAAGCTTGAAATTGATTTTTGTGTGGGCATGGATCACAGGCCTATTCATAAATTATGTTTATGAAATGAAGGATAAAAGATGAACATTTGTAATCTAGTTAGTATAAATAAGAAATGACTATCAGAAAGCTGATCACTGGAGAAAAAATTTATAAGTACAAAATGTAAGCAAAATTTAAGAAACAAGCAGAAGATAAGGAACATGTTTAGTAAGACAATTTCATCAGAGAAAGAAGATGAAAGCAATTAGCACAAAATGGAAAAGAGAACTAAAAAGGGAACAGTTTCAACAAGGAAAGGGCATTTGATAGAGATAAAATGATGCAAGTAAGTATAAAAGGATGAGAACATACAAAGTTTAATTTTGCAAAATGTCTTTGATGATGAGAGAATTTTCTATAAAAAGTAACTTTGGCTAAAATTGCATTGATTGGTAGAAATCACAAAAAGAATAGAAGAAAGCATCACAAATGTAGACTATTTAAAAATATATTTGTGGATAGTGAGGAGCTAAATCACATTTATGGGGGATAGAGAAGGATGCAGGATATTTTCTGATAGATAGCGGGATGCTGGCTCAATATGACTGAGTAGGAAATTCAGGGTAGAGCAAGGGGCTTAAGTGTTAATGGCTTTCACTTTGCTTAATTCCTTGGAAACCACATGATGATCTCAGTTATTTGATGTTGCTAGGAATTGTACTTGTAGACAGCAAGTATTTGTTTATTCATAGACAATCCTCCCTGAATCCAAGGCTTTTCCACATTGCCATTGTTAAAGATTTTCCTTCTCCTGGGAAGATGCATGGGGGATAGGCTATCAGAGTCTTTCTCAGTCTTATCACTACAAGATTTTTACCATATTGTCACAAGAGATGATTTATATAAATCACCACAACGGAACAAAGTAGAAGTGCATAATGTACTTAAACAACTTTATGTTTTATTCTCTCTGGGAGGGGAAAATATACATACTTCGTTATTCATAAGGCTCAGCTGGGGAAACGACAAAGTAATGATTTGTGTCCTAAATGAGAAAAAATTCATTCAAATATAGTTTTCGATCATCTTGCATATAAAGGACAGTGTCATATTTTCTCACTTTGATCTTTTAAATCCCATGCATATAGAGTGACAGTAAGCAAAATCTATTCTTTCTTCCTTCCCCAATCCAGGATGTGGGAAAGGGTTTTTCATTCACTACTGAGATTTTTCAAATTAAAACAAACAAATAAAAACAAACTGTAGGTAATATTTGACTAATTTTTAATATTGTATTTAGTAGAAAATCAAAGAGGCTTGTCAAAATCTAGAGAAAACTCCTCTGACTGATACCTGTTTCATTATGTTATGGATATCCACATCATACTTTATATAATGCCAAGTTAATTTGATAAGGCTTTGCCAACAGAAAGGAATCACCTTGATCCTTTGACAAAGTTTCTAAAAGTGACATCTAATATATGTCATGGTAACCAAAAGGAATTTGAACGCCCTTCAAAGTGACCTAATGGCATAAAGGTCAATACCACCTTAGAAAAGTCTCCAATTTATGCCTTCTTTCTTTCTTGCTCCTATTGATTTAGAAAATATAAAAACAAAGTACTATTGCATCTTTTTAAAATACTTATTTTGCATTAACATTCACTGAACTTAGTTGATATTGCTGCGAATCTTTGCATTCTGGGCAACTGCTACTGATAACTGTTATTACCTACCCAAAACACCATGGGGCATATGAAATTTTAAAGTCTTCCAGGATATTTGTATGTGTTGCACTACTATCTTAAATGAGCTTTGTTTTTGGTTTGCCTTGGGTTCATTATTCTGGTGTTAGTATATCAATGACAAATCTGAGACTGTAAGACAAAGAAATAATGAATATAATTAAACGGCATATTCTTTTCTTTTTTAGAATGTCAGTTGATGTCAGTAAGGATTCGTTTTCAGAGTTCCCACGTGCCTCAGTCCAGCTTATCAAGGTTATGCCCTCTTTCTATACTTACTGTGACTGAAGCTAACTACTTCAGTCAATTAACCATCAATTGTATTGACCACCTCCTAGGTACCACTCTTTTGATCATTGTGCATACAATGGTAGACAAAATAGGAAGAGTTCCTTCTTGATGGAGTTTAAATTATATTGAAGTATGAAAAAAAATAAATAAATGAAAAAAGAAACAATAATTTTGTTGGATTCAGATTTTACCCTAACTAAATTCAGGAGGATTTAATTTTGAGATCCTTAACCAATTGCATATGCAAAGAAAGACGCTATTTCCAAATAAGGTCACATTCTGAGTGTCTAGATGGACATGAAATTTTGGAGGATACTATTCAACCCACTGCAGGTGGTAGAAAAAAAAACAAAAACAAAAACAAAACTAGGCAGAAGTAACTTAAACAACCCCAAGTAAAAAAATGTGACAGTGTCTGCCTCTACAATGTTGAAAGTGAGATAGTGATGAGATGTGATTGTCTTTAGGTATTTAGAGTTAATGGAACATGCTGAGTTAGTGGGAAAGTCAAAAGTGGATTGTATTTGAGGTCTACATTCTAGATAAATAGTGAAATGTACTGAGGTGGGAAAAACTAAAAGAAAAGTAGATTTTCAGAGAAATAAATTAACATTTATTCTTTGGATATATTAAGTTGTAATCTATATTTGATATCCAAGTTGAAATATTAAGTTCAGAGTTAAATATTGGAAAGCCTATAGTCATATTTATTAGTAAATAAAAAAGAAATTAAAATTTCAGCAATATATTTCTTTCATTCATAGAGTCATGACTAAAGAGACTTTTATAATATAGTTACAAAATTAGCATGCTATAATATTATATCATTTAGAACATACTAAATGTATATTCATCTTCATTCCCATTTAACATATTTTTCTTCTGGCTATATCTGAAAGTCAAACGAGGTCCATATCTTCCAGAGCTATCAAGCCCACTATCAACAGACGATTTAACTAGAAATAATTAAAACCAGGCAATCATCTGGCCTACTTTGTGTCTCCTACACCACTCATCAACTATGTGGCTTTGAGGAAGTCACTTAAACTGAAGCATCCCTTCTCTCATATTAAAACTGGGTTAATAACACCTACTTCTCAGGAAAAATTATGTATAAAATCACCAGTACATCGTATATATTTATGAATGTCTGCTCCTGTTATATCTAACATCTTTTAAAAATAATTACGTAATCTTTCCTCATAATATACATTTAAAATAAACAATATTAAATAAAATTTCTACTTTGCAGAGAAAAAAGATGAAAGTAACATATCAAAAAGGATGAGGAAGTGTTAAACTGTTTTCAGTTGAAAGAGCTAAACCTAGGAGAAGCTAAAGTTTTTTTTTTCAGTTTAATAGTGTTGTTTATATGGAGACAAAAAGTGCTATAATTTAAATCTTTAGCATGCTATTCTGTATTAGAGTACTAATGTTGTGGCTTGTCAATTTAGCATTTTTATTTCATGGATTCCTTGAATAATTAATAAGTGAGAACATTGAGGCTATGCAGACATTTTATTAACACACATCCTAATAGCATCTCACTATTCTATTTGCCAAACAACATCTTTACGTGTCTGCTTCATCTCAGTGCTCACCATCTTTGGGGAGCTTTCTACAGTTATGCTCACTCACCATCTCAGCCACTAGAGACATAAATCTCCAGCTTAATTTAATAACCTTAGGACATATATGCCTCTTTCACAAAATAAAACAAAATATGTTTACTAGAGAAAAAGAAATGAAAATAAGTAAACTCACAAACAATAAAAAATGTCATTAGAGAGAAGATAGTCAAATTTTATTTTTGATTAGCCCAGAACATATAGAAAGGAAGCAAGCAAAAGGAAATTGGGGAAGTGACATTTATTGAGCAACCACTAAATGCCAAACATTTTATAGGGGGCATTTCATTATGTCATTGCAACACAGCAGTAAGGGTATCATTTTCCTCATTTTGAAGATGTCAAACCCAAGTTTTCGTAAGATTAAAGTAGATCAAGGTGCTAAGCTTTTCGTAGGAATGCTGAGCGTCCAACCCAAAACTATCTGACCTTGGCGAATCTGAAGTACAATTTATTTCACTAAATTGCAACGTAAAGGAGAAATAATATGACATTAATATGGGACTTACAGATAGTATGTACTCCCCAACTATTATTGCTTTATTGTGGGAAAAAACATGAATACGTGGTCAGAGAAAATAGATGTTAGCAACACATTACTGAAAACAAATTATTGATCAGATTTTAATGGATCTAATGTTCATACTTGTGTTTTTCTACAGGAACTTTTGTATCACTTAGAAAACCACTCCTCTACTCATCACCATTTTATAATTATTTTTGTCGTATTTCCTATTTTATATTATTGGATAGAATTTATGACCTTGTTATAAGTTTTTATAACTACAAACTTAGAGATAATTTAAGTATATTAACATATTACAGATTATACTATAATTATATTTCACAATGTGAATTGTAGCTAACATAATTTTCTGTGAAAAACCTTTATAGTAATTTGAATTCCTATGCTTTTCAGGCAATAATATTCTCTGTAATAACAGTTACAATAATTTCTGTGAGTATAATTTTTTTTTATTTTAAAATATGCTTCATTCTGCTGATTTAAGTGGTCTAAGAAATTATAACCTTGCAGTCAATAGATTAATACGAAGACAGGGATGGTCCAACAGACATTATTGCAATAAGTCTTTCATTACAGAACTTGGATCAGAATGTCTAAGGATTTGAATCGCCCCAGGGATCCAAGAGTTGTGATTGAAATTGGATCCACATCTATTCCAAACTATGTAATATTCCCAAGCATCCTCAAACCCTTCTTGAGGAAAAGAAAAATTTAAACAATATGAGAAAATCTGGCTTATCTATACAAGAAAACTGTTAGACTGATTTCAGCCTTCTCATCTACAACACTATATTCTGAAATTTAATTAAATAGTAGTTTTAAATCTGAAAAGAAAAGAAAAACATACTAAGCTTAAAAGTAAGAGAGGCTATGAGACATATTGGCTATTAAAACATTTGGATATCTATATATATCCTATTGCAAAAATATTTAAATTATTTCAACAAAATGGAAAAAAGCAATTGAAGGAAGAGGACAATATAGGATATAAGAAATTACTTTAGGTGATTATTACCAGATTAAGTAAAGAAAAATTAGCAAGATCTTGATTCTTGGTAAAGTCTCCTTTGAGCAATAATATTACTGCATTTGATTACATCTTATAATATAGTAATAATCAAATTTAAATATTGTTTATTTATATTCAATGTGTAGAATCAAGCTATAGGAAAAAAATCACTGAATTATGGATAACTAGCACGAAGTAAATATATTAAATTTAACAATGCAAAACAATACTATATGTAACAAACTACAAATTAGTGGGTATGAATTTTGGAAGGAAAAATAACTCCCTCGTATTTTGTATTCGACTATGTGTAAAACAAGGTTATCTTACAGCTGAACTGAGATAGCTCCATAACTATCTGGAAATCGAGTATGACCCTTGGTCAAAATAAGGATGGGAGGTACTAATTTGGAATTTGCATTGTGCTGTTTAAAGCTGGAAACTGAAAGGCAATTAGGGCTAGCTGTCTATACTGTTTAAGGATGTATTGACTGGTTTACAGCAAGCTTAAACAGTTATGTAACCTAGTTTTAGCTATGTAACCAATGGGATATGATAAATCCTGTGCAAAATTTTGCCCAGACTCACTTGAAATAAAGATACTTCTCACTTTCAATAGTAGTTCATAATCTAAAGACAAAGACTATCCTGTGGAATATGGGAATATTCAAGGCAGGAATATGTGGGCAGGTCTACCGTTGAAAGTACTCAGAACTTCCTATGTGCTTTCTTCCCCTTGTTGTGCTACATCTTTTACTTTCATAGAATTACATGCAAGCATAACCTGTGAGTCATGAATTCTTGCAATTTTGTAATTGATGTCATTGGCAATGTAAGTAGAAAAATTGAAACAAATCTTAAATCTATAATTTAAATTATAATTTAGACTTGATTTGGGAGAGAGCAGGATGAGGAAGGGGGAACCATTTTTTGTCAGGATGGGTTCCTGGCCATCTCTGGTGTGAGATTGCTCAAGAGCTTTGACTACTGCTGACAGGAAAAGCTTAATAATAGGACACAGAGGCCAAGCGTGGTGGTTCATGCCTGTGATCCCAGCACTTTGGGATGCCAAAGAGGGCTGATCACTTGAAACCAAGAGTTTGAGTACAACCTGGCCCACATGGCAAAATCCCATCTCTACCAAAAAATACAAAAATTAGCCAGCTGTGGTGGGGTGGGCCTATAATCCCAGCTACTCAGGAGACTGAGTCATGAGAATCTCTGGAACCTGGGAGGCGGAGATTGCAGTGAGCAGAGATCTCTTCGCTGCACTCCAGGCTGTGGATAGAACAAGACTCTGTCTCAAGAGAAAAAGAAAAAAAAAGAAAAGAAGAGAAGAGGAGAGGAGAAGAGAGGAGAGGAGGGGAGGGAAGGGGAGGGGGGTGGGGAGGGGAGGGGAGAGGAGAGGAGAGGAGAGGAGAAAAAAGAAAAGAGAAAAGACAAGACAAGACATACAGTTGGTAGATGCATGGAAGAAATTACTAAAGGATTACAAAAGAAATTTGAACAAGGGCAAGTCAGTCAACAATGTGATACTTTGGCAGCTTTTACCCACTTTGGTGATTAGAAAAAAAAGAAGTAGCCGAAGGCGTCCAGATTGCAATCACAGTCAGTGACCCATCTGTACATGCAGGGGTATAACATCATATGGGAGTTGGGCAGATACCTGTTTTGGTTGAAATGATGTCCCCATCTTATCACTAATCATAGAAAAATAATACATGTCTCAAGGAGAGGAAGTCAAGAGACTCCTTAAATAGAAAGCAAAAGCAAAAAGATATTCAGTTAAGAGATAACTCCATTTATAAACTGGTGTTGACAACATGGCTAGCCACAATTAAAGTTGATTTTATTGACAAATAAACAAGTAGCTATTATTCCTGCTTTAGATACTTCCAAATGGAAGGCCATGTTTGGTCTTACTGAAGATCTTCATATAACAGCATCTTCTGCAGAAATGTGAACAGATGCATCAATTCCCAATATGGACACAAGACAATTGTTCTACTCTGCCTTCAGACATTAAATGGAATATTAAGGCTGCTAAAATGTTGAAAATGCAACAACTGTGGTTTGTTTACATAATGATACTCAAGTTTCTACAAACTCTGTGCCCTTGATCCAAGTAATGATTGATGTGATAAATGGTGTTCCAATTCCTCAGGCTCATTTTGTGACTTTATTATTTGAGAGGAGGTAAGATAATGTGAGAAAGTTTGTCATGAATCTCTTCACCAAGAAACCTTAATGAAATTGCATGATTGTAAAAAGATTAGAATTTCTGAGAAAAAAAAGGAAACAATAAAAAGGGAAAAACAGAAAAAAAAACTAACAAAACCTCAGGGCAATTAAAACGGTAGCAAGAAGTACTTAAATAATTAGTTAAAAATAGCTTGAGAAATATGGAGTAAGTAGTTCTCAATATCTTAATGGATTATTATAAGAAATTAGGTAGTATAGCTACCATGAAACTCCTCATCCTATACGAGGATAAAAACAGCGTCACTCAACTTATTCTAGCCTTGATGAATTAAGAAAATGTTAATGATTACATAACTGATGAATTTTCAAGTCCCTCAGAATCAGTGCTGATTACCATAGTGTGAAGTAACGTAGACGATTATGACTACAAATGTCACGCGTGTCATGGTCTCTTGGCACAACTCCTGGCAGGAGAAATAAGACTGTTTGCTTTGATATGGGTAAACAGCTTGGCGGTGCTGAAAAACTTATATTTGGTTTACTGGACACTGATGCACCATGTATTGTCATATCTAAATCTACTCATGAAAAATGTATTGGCAATATAGCTAAGCTAGGGTAAATGGTGTGCAATTCTGCAAGCATTTTGAGTGAGGACTTTATGAACAAAATATATGAATGCTATTTATTTTTATCAACCCTACTAGAATGTATTATTTAAATAAAATTAGAATATAAAAATAATTAACCCTCATTGACATGCAAGAATGCCTAATCGATTTTTAGATAGGTAAAGTGATGTTGGTTCATATTTTTTTTATGGCAAAAGAGAAGCATTTTTATGTGTGAGTTCTTTTTCTGTAACGCAAGTCAAATAACAATGACCAGTGAACATCCATTTTCAAAATATTATTTTCCTAGGGTTAATTTCTTTTAAAAAGTTTTTTACTTATTTTGTTAAAATATCAACATTTCTTTGAAGGAATTAATTTTGTAATTATTTTTATTTGAAAATATCTGCTAGGTAGCATAATATTGATAAAGTTTCTAACATGGAAAATGTCAGAAATTTTGGAGCATTCTATTTTTTTTTTGTAAAATAAAATTATGACTCCATTTTAAAATTGAAAACTTTTAATATTTGGCAACTTTATCACCTCTCAGCCACACTAAAGTACAAGAAATTTTATTATCGCCTTTTATCTCTTTTTCACTAATAAAAGTTAACATAAGTTGAGAGCTTGCTACATACACTGTTCAAAGTACTACGCGCATATAAACTCAATTAATCCTAACATCAGAACTTGAAATAAATACTGTGTGGGGAAAAGAAAGAGAGATCAGATTGTTACTGTGTCTATGTAGAAAAGGAAGACATAAGAAACTCCATTTTGATCTGTACAGAGAAAAATTGTTTCTGCTTTGAGATGCTATTAATCTGTAACTTTAGCCCCAACCCTGTGCTCACAGAAACATGTGCTGCATTGAATCAAGGTTTAAGGCACTTAGGGCTGTGCAGAATGTGCCTTGTTAACAATATGTTTACAGGCAGTATGCTTGGTAAAAGTCATCGCCATTCCCCATTCTCTATGAACCAGGGGCACGATGCCGCAGGGACCTCTGCCCAAGAAAGCCTGCATATTGTCCGAGGTTCCCCCCTACTGAGACAGCCTGAGATATGGCCTCGTGGGAAGGGAAAGACCGTCCCCCAGCCTGACACCTGTAAAGGGTCTGTGCTGAGGAGGATTCGTAAAAGAGGAAGGCCTCTTTGCGGTTAAGAGGAAGGCTTCTGTTTCCCGCATGTCCCTGGGAACGGAATGTCTCGGTGTAAAGCCGACTATTCGTTCTATTTTGAGACAGGAGAAAACCGCCCTGTGGCTGGAGGCGAGATATGGTGGCAGCAATACTGCTCTGTTACTTTTTGCTACACTGAGATATTTGGGTAAAGAGAAACATAAATCTAGCCTACGTGCACATCCGGGCACAGTACCTTCCCTTGAACTTATTTATGACGCAGATTCCATTACTCACACGTTTTGCTGCTGACCTTCTCCCCACCATCACCCTGTTCACCCTGTTCTCCTGCCGCACTCCCCCTGCCGAGATAGTGAAAATAGTAATCAATACATACTGAGGGAACTCGGAGACCGGCGCCGGTGCAGGTCCTCACATGCTGAGTGTGCCGGTCCCCTGGGCCCACCGTTCTTTCTCTATACTTTGTCTCTGTGTCTTATTTCTTTTCTCATTTTCTCAGTTTCTTGTCCCACCTGACGAGAAATACCCGCAGCTGTGGAGGGGCAGGCCCCCTTCAGTACTGTAATCAACATCCTTACTTTGGAGATTAGGAAGCTGACACACATATATGTATATTAACTTTCCCAACACGGATTTTTTTTTTTTTTTTTTTTTTTTTTTGAGATTGGGTCTTGCTCTGCTGGCAAGGGTGGAGTGCAGTGGGTGCAATCACGGCTCACTGTAGCCTTAACATCTTGGGCTCAAGTGATCCTCCCACCTCAACCTCCAGAGTAGCTGGGACCACAGGTGTGTGCCATCATGCCTGGCTAATTATTTTATTTTTTGTAGAGATGGGGTCTCATTGTGTTGCCCAGGCTAGTCTCACACCACTGAGCTCAAGCAATCTTCCTGCCTGTGACTCCTGAAGTACTAGGATTATAGGCATGAGCCATCGCGCCTGGCCTGAGAGCCATTTTTTTTGTTTTGTTTTTGTTTTATTTTAAGGATTGAAATGGTAACTTTTATATTAGGTATATTTTACCACAATTTTAAAAATTAAAAGAAGGATGATAAGGGTAGAAATTTAAAAACATTTAGAAAGTCAGTGGAAGCTAGAAAGGATCCAAGCACATCACATGTGATTTCCTTTACTGCTTTTGTAATTACCAACATCTTAGAGGGTTTCCCTTATTCATTGTTCTTTGGGAAATGATTTTTTTAAAAATTATACTTTAAGTTCTGGGATACATGTGCAGAAGGTGAAGTTTTGTTACATAGGTATACATGTGACATGTGCCATGGTGGTTTGCTGCACCCATCAACCCATCATCTACATTAGGTATTTCTCCTAATGCTATCCCACCCCTACTCCCCCACCCCTAAAGAGGCCCCGGTGTGTGATGTTCCACTCCCTGTGTCCATGTGTTCTCATTGTTCAACTCCCACTTATGAGTGAGAACATGCAATATTTGGTTTTCTGTTCTTGTGTTAGTTTTCTGAGAATGATGGTTTCCAGCTTCATCCATGTCCGTGCAAAGGACATGAACTCATCCTTTTTTATGGCTGCATAGTATTCCATGGTGTATATATGTCACATTTTCTCTATCCAGTCTATCATTGATGGGCATTTGGGTTGGTTCCAAGTCTTTGCTATTATGAATAGTGCCACAATAAACATACCTGTGCATGTGTCTTTGATTTATAATCCTTTGGGTATATACCCATTAATGGGATTGCTGGGTCAAATGGTATTTCTAGTTCTACATCCTTGAGGAATCACCACACTGTCTTCCACAATGGTTGAACTAATTTACACTCTCACCAACAGTGTGAAAGTGTTCCTATTTCTTCACATCCTTTCCAGCATCTGTTGTTTCCTACCTTTTAATGATCATCATTCTAACTGGCGTGAAATGTTATCTCACTGTGGTTTATTGTGGTTTTACTTTGCATTTCTCTAATGACCAGTGATGATGAGCTTTTTTTAAATATGTTTGTTAGCTGCATAAATATCTTTTCTTTTTCTTTTTCTTTTTTTGTGGACGGAGTCTTGCTCTGTTGCCAGCCTGGAATGCAGTGGTATGATCTCGGCTCACTGCAATCTCCGCCTCCCGGGTTCAAGCGATTCCCCTGCCTCAGCCTTCCGAGTACCTGGGACTGCAGGCACGCACTGCCATGCCCAGCTAATCTTTTTGTATTTTAGTGGAGACGGGGTTTCACCATGTTGGTCAGGATGGTCTCGGTCTCTTGACCTCGTGATCTGCCTGCCTCCACCTCCCAAAGTGCTGGGATTACAGGCATGAGCCACTGCGCCCAGCCATAAATGTCTTCTTTTGAGAAATGTCTGTTCATATCCTTTGCCCACTTTTTGATGGGTTTTTTTTTCTTTTTTTGTTGTAAATTTGTTTAAGTTCTTTGTAGATTCTTGATGTTAGCCTTTTGTCAGATTGATAGAGCTCTTTAGTTTAATTAGATCCCATTTGTCAATTTTGGCTTTTGTTGCCATTGCTTTTGGTGTTTTAGTCATGAAGTCTTTGCCCATGCCTATGTACTGAATGGTATTGCCTAGGTTTTCTTCTAGGATTTTTATGTCTTTCAGTCTTATGTTTAAATCTTTAATCCATTTTGAGTTAATTTTTGTATAAGGTGTAAGGAAGGGGTCCAGTTTCAGTTTTCTGCATATGGCTAGCCAGTTTTCCCAACACCATTTATTAAATAGGGAATCCTTTTCCCATTGCTTGTTTTTGTCAGGTTTTGTCAGGTTTGTCAAAGATCAGATGGTTGCAGATGTGTGGTGTTATTTCTGAGGCCTCTGTTCTGTTCCATTGATCTATTTTTAAGCACAGATATTTAGATTCCAAAGCTGACATTTCTAACCATGATGTCACTGTCTGCTACTTAAGGTAAGGAAATTGATAACTTCACTTAATTAGGCAAAAATTAAATCAATTGCATTGAAATTGGAAGGAGTGAACAAGTGAGAAACCAGTGTGAATGCCTACATATGGTGGAATTTTCAAATTTTCAATTTTGTTAAGGTTTCCTCTATGTAAGTATTGATTTCTCTTTTAAATATAATTAAAATGTGAATTTATTTAAAAGTTTAATATAAGTATGCATACTTACTCATTTGTTGAGTGCATATTTGAACATGATGTTCTTCTAAACACCAGAGATTTGCCAGTGATAGCATCAGAAATTGAATAAGGAAATTATTTAGAAGGCATAACTAATAGGTCTTATAATGATTCTAATGAAGAATTAAGAAACGAATAATAAGTGGGGAATTGCAAGTTGTATTTGTCTAAGAAACACTTTCATGGAAAGTTTGAATATTGTCACAAAATTAATAGTTGAAAACAAACTCTGTTGGTCTTACGGCTTAATTTTGTCTCAAAAGTAATTGGGGATAATAAGAAATTCTGAGACCTCCATATTGACTTATAGAAAGCAACTTTCACTTATGCTGCCTCCTCAGAAACTGTTTATTACCTGCTTTATAGTATTCTGAGTAACGAAGTCAATCACATCATATTCTCTAATATAAATACATATATTTTAACAATAAAATAACAATTTAATTTATAACATGTTGAGATTAGTTTTTTTAATTAACCCAGGAAACTCAACCAAACTATTTCTGCTTAACAATATTGAAAACAAAGAATGATTTAAACTTTACTAATGTTTACATAGTAAATACTAATATTTGAATAAGATAAAAATAAAATGCAACTATCAAAAATTCAAGTTTCAAAATCCATATAATGTTCAGATAATTTTTTTTGCAGTGGATTATGTGTTATGATTCATTCACTTTCTCTGCTATATCCTTGAAGAATGACTTTATGGACTGCACAGGCTGCAAAGC
The DNA here is from genome assembly GCF_000001405.40 of Homo sapiens. Lineage (NCBI taxonomy): Eukaryota > Metazoa > Chordata > Mammalia > Primates > Hominidae > Homo > Homo sapiens. The sequence continues at coordinate 135,542,334 of NC_000004.12, forward strand.
TGAAAACTGCCTTTCCCTCACTCCACAGCAGTTTATGTTTCAGATGTGACTTTGAAGAGACTTGCTTCCAAACCTGAGTTAAGTGGAGCAAGAGAGTTAGGATATAAATAAAGACTCTTGCTGGTGCATATCACTGCAGAGGCAGGGCAGTTTTGTAAATATCAACTTCCAGATTTAGTGATTTCCTGAGATGTCAGTAGCTTTCAGCTTTAGGTAGAAGCAGTGTGACCTTTGCTAATATAGTGTCTGTTCTTCTAGCCATTATTAGAATAATTTACCAAGGTCCCTTAAATAACATACTATAAATTATACATGTCATATAAATATGCTTGCTTCTAAAGATTAAGGGACAGAAGTAAACTCATTCCTGAGAATCACTTTTTAGATTGGTAAATATACCTATTCATGTTGCATTTACTAAGAAAATTTTACACACTGTATCACTTAAATTTAATTTCCTGTGACTTAAGTTGATCATTCTCTATTGCTTGGAGATCTTACCCCTTCTGCATCAACATATATATTTACCACATTCTTTTTAAATTGCTTAGTAAGTCAGAGTATATTAAGGAACATAATGTACTTAATTGGGCTCATATTTTTGTACATAATTCATTTTTAGAAAAGATTTCTAGAAGCAGAATTGCTATGCCAAAATATGGGAATTTTTGAACATAGAAGATATTGAAATATGCCCTCCAAAAAGGCTGTAATCATTTACATTATATTCAACAACATATGAATATGTACACTGTACAACACTCAATTTGCTATTGATAATAAAAGTGGTAGATCTAAGACCAAAACACAGGCAGTCAGTCAGTGCAGTGGCTTAAGGATTCGACCATTAGTTATCTAGAATTATTGCATGAAGGACTGCTCATTTTGCTTACGTGTATTTTGGTCTGAATTCGGAATTTCTACTGGATTTTATTGGACATTTTTCTTTTAATTTCTGCAAGGTTTTGTGCCATGATATTCTATTCATGTTTATTTATAACAAGATTTATATTTTATTAATCTTATAGGGAATCACATTCTGAAGTACTGATATGGTCTTTTCATTTTTTTCCACTGTCATAATATTGATTTATTCCCTTTTAGATATTCTCTGCTATTTCAATGGGAGTTTCTGTGGCAAGTGCATTAGACTCATGAGATCTATTTAATTAAACCAAATTCCTGCTTTTGCTTTTTGATTTTCTCTACTTTGTTTTGGGCATAACTTATCATCATTATGGTATATAGTATAAGGTAGATTTTAGGCCGGGCACAGTGGCTCACGCCTGTAATTCCAGCACTTTGGGAGGCCGAGGCAGGCATATCACCTGAGGTCGGGAGTTCAAGACCAGCCCGGCCAACATGGTGAAACCCCATCTCTACTAAAAATACAAAAAGAAAAAAAAAAGAAAGAAAAAGTTAGCTGGGCATGGTGGCGCGCGACTGTAATACCAGCTACTTGGGAAGCTGAAGCAGGAGAATCACTTGAACTTGGGAGGCAGAGGTTCCAGTGAGCCGAGATCACGTCACTGCACTCAAGCCTGGGCAACAGAGTGAGACTCAGTCTCAAAAATAAATAAATAAATAAATAAATAAATAAATAAATACATTTTATAATTTTAAAAATAATGTCTTTAGATCATTTACTATTTGTGGCATTACATTTTACTTTCTCTGATACTCATTTTTCATACTGATTTTTCCTCACAGGTGTGTGTCTGTGTGTCTTTCTCAAAGACAGAATTTTGGATTAATCTTTCTTTTTAAAAAAAAGTTACTCAAATAATGTTTTTTGTCTTGGCAAAGATAGTTCATGTTTTTTATGATTCATATTTTAATTTTTAACCAAATTTAAATACATTTTCACAGCTGCAAATTAATTAGAGTTAAAGAGGTCACATGTACCGTCACGATTTAGTTATACCATGTTGGAAATGTATACAAGTATGCACAACTTCCCCAGTAGGAGAAGAGTATATGTTGTAATACTAGGATGTAGGTGGGAGGCACATGAAAATTCAAGAGAAGGCCTTCTGTCTAATAGTATACCACTAGAAACAAATGGATCAATTTTTATATATTTGGGCATAAAATAACAGTAAGACTAATGATCATTTTTACATTAACTCATTTAATTTATCCAATAGCCCTAAAAGATGATAGAATATAATCTCCATTTCTCCAGTGAAGAAGGGAGAGCCTGGATAATTAGGCAAGAACACACAACTAGAAGATGGAAGAGCCAAGATTCAACTCAGTGGCCACATAGGACACCATGAGGCCATTCTGCCTCTCAGTAAAGTATGACAGTATATGACCCAGAAATTTTTTTTCTCTGAAGTAACATGGATTAGCTTTCAGCATGAGCATTTATAACTGGTGCTCAGGCTTTTGAGAAGCCCTAATTACTAATATCTGTATTCTTATTGTGTGTATTGTTCAAAGTGTCAAACATCTAACATCTATGTAGGTGAGTTATTAGTTATATATTTTGTAGATATTATGTAGGTGAGTTATTTACAGATTTTTACTAAGCACTTCAGCCTTTAGAGAGTTTTGCTAAGCACTTTGACTTTTTTTTGCTAATTTTTTATATAATATAAAAATTTTCCTTTTTAAAATAAAGAGTTGTCTGGGCACGGTGGCTCACGCCTGTAATCCCAGCACTTTGGGAGGCCGAGGCAGGCAGATCACGAGGTCAGGAGATCGAGACCATCCTGGCTAATATGTTGAAACCCCGTCTCTACTAAAAATACAAAAAATTAGCCGGGTGTCGTGTCGGGCGCCTGCAGTCCCAGCTACTCGGGAGGCTGAGGCAGGAGAACGGTGTGAATCTGGGAGGAGGAGCTTGCAGTGAGCCGAGATCAAGATCGCGCCACTGCACTGCAGTCTGCGACACAGAGCGAGACTCTGTCTCAAAAATAAATAAATAAAATAAAATAAAGAGTTATTATTCTTGAGTCATTTGTTGTGATTATACTATTAATCTACTATGTTTTGTTGATGTGAAAAAATATTTAACTGAACAATGTATTAAGTGAAATTTATTTTCTCAGGGATTGTGTTTTTCAAATTTTTTCTTGGCATTAACATATTTTGTGTTGCAAAGAGAATGATACTTATTGTTGTTAGAAGCCCACAATTCTGATATAAGCCCAACTGATTATTGTACATTAGAGTAGAAATGAGAGGGTGGGATGATTTGTACATAAAACACTAATGATATACAATTATTCACTCACAACAGGCATGCTTTGTCTTTATGTATATTCATTCATCATCGAGAATTATCTATATCAGCACAGCACTTCAGACTTTTAGTACTCAAGTAATTCATGATGCTTAGAATTACATGCATTGGAAGACTATTTTTGCAAGTTTTAAACAGATGGTTTTATATCAGAGATTTTTATAAAGACAGAGAACAAATAGGAGTAAGTTTTTCATGGCCAAATTGTCTTTTGCTGTATGAATTTCTGCCAATTCAAGCATACTGAATGTATTTCTCTCTGAAATTATATTTCACAACTTGTAAATGTGTGTATGTCAATTTCAAAGACTGCAGTTGCTTTGCACATTTAAAAAAATTAATTTTTATGATAACCTATTTGTTAACATACTTTGCATAATTTTTAGGATAATTACTATGTTAAAAATAGGTTACCAGAATTTCCCTTGGGGAAAATCACTATGAAAGGCTTACTTTTCAATAACCGAACTGAAGGTACTGCTAGATAAATGAGTTATTCTGAACCTTGTGTCTTCAGTTCTGTTCTGAGTATACAACATTTAGATGCAATCTGTGGTTAGATTAGACCAGTGAAATGCTAGCATAAAATGGAAAGATATATATATATCTATGGAGGCACATAAAATTATGACATTATGTAATTGAGCCAGAAAATGTAAGGACATGTTGATATTATATTTAAATAACTTTACAATGTTACAATCTTCTGCATCTCTAAAATGCAAGATATAAACTAGAATGGTATTGAATTATTTTACAGCGTTATTACCCCATGATTCCTAAGAAATTAAATGTATAAAAATGTTATTTGCTAGTTGGGAGCCACTTACTCTCTTTTATAAAATGTTGCATCTATTTTTTTTAAGCAAGCATTCACAGGTTGTTTCAAAAAACATGCTTAGAAGTAGTTGTCCCATGTAAACATAGTTGAGGCATAACAGTAAGTTTTCTTGTCAGAAAGAGATAGAATATATAACAACTTAGATACTATAAAGTCTTTATACACTGTCTACATTAAAATTAAAATGACATGGTTAATTGCATAAGAATACTTTGGATTTCTATAACTTAATATTATAGGTTTTTAAAAATAATAATCTGTTAAGAAAATTGTAAAGACACACGTAAAAAAGTATGTATGCAGGTTTTAGGTATAACTATTTTCTACTATTTTGCAATCAGAAGCAAATATCTATGTGTGCTTTTATGTGTGTGTATTTGTGTGTGTATGTTTTATTCTAATAGGTTTAGCATATCTTTTGAATTGTAATGGTTAATTTTATAAATTCAACAGCCCATCAAATAAGGTTGGCGAGTAAAAAGCAGCTAAGTTTATTTTGGTTACTTTAGCTAATGTTGAAATGGGTTGCATTGGTAGACTATGTTATTGAGATACAGGTGAACTTACTGTGACACAGAAGATTGCTTTGTTTTTTGACAGAATTATGTTTGCAGGAGGATCTCAGGAGATGCCTGTGTGTATGAAAGACATTGGTAATACCAAGATGACAAGGAAACCCTCAGAATGGGACAGGGCTCCCTTTATTTGTGATTCCAATTTTATACCAAGAGTATTGTAAAATCGTCTAGTATCTGGAGAGTTCTAAAAATAATTTTGTTCTGTTTAACATCAAATTTTCAGATATTTCCAACCTTTGAAGCCTTTTTAGAATTAAAGTATATAAATTAAATTCTATTTAGATTAAATATATGCATTTTTAATCCAAATTTCTATATTCTTCTTAACATTTCTTTTTTCTATATTATCTATATATGGCAGGATAAAATATGGAATAATATAAAGATCAACCCAAACAGTAAGGCCCCAAACCATTTAGCATGTATTTACATCCATGCAGCTTTGTCAGGCATTGCACAGTTGTAAAAACAAGGTGTTTAAAGTATCAGGAAGATATGAGCCCTGCCTTTGACCTGCATTTCCAGAAATGCCCCTCAATTGGTTTGAAAATATATATCGTATAATTTGTTTACATGTTAACAAAAAATGTATGTAGGTTTTTGAAATTATTTATTTAGAGAAGAAGAAAATATATCAGTTTAGAAATATTTGCAATTAGATTGTTCCCATGTGCGGATATTTAGGGGTGCTGAATCACAAATAGCAACTTATTATGTTTATTGCACAAAATTGTAACATTTTATGAAGCAACTCCACATGGAGTTTTAAGAAAATTGCATCCATGAGTATGTGATACTATTTAGAGAAGACCCTGATACTAGAGAAATATTAACTTTGGATTAAATATTGGATTAAAAGAATAATATATGTACACAATTACATACTTATACCATCTCACTTTATCTCATGTGAGAACTATCTTCATAAAAGATGGAATATAAGTAAAACATTTTGGTTATAAATGCCAAAACCAGCCTTTCTGAGTTCACCATAAAAAATTGGTTGAAAATTGATGAGTTATCAAAGTCATGAGATGCTGCCTAAGCAGATATAATAAAGGTTTCCAAGACATGGCAAAATTTGGAATTTCTGAAAATTGCAGTATATACTATCCAATAACTCAGAAGACTCCATCATTCTCTGTTTCTCCCTTATACTAGATTTTTTAAAGTAATGTTGGTATTATTAATGTTGTATTATAAATGTAAAAAAAGATTATGTAGAAAATCAATGTACAAAAATTAATCAAGTCTCTAGCTTTGTCATAAAATACAAATATTAAATAATAAAAGTTTGTACAAATTTGAATTTATTTTCCTGAGGACAATAGTTACTATATCTAAACCAGAATTGTTGAATAATGTGGTTTCAAAAATAATTTAAATAATCTTGCACGGTAAACATATTAAATTACGAGATAATTATGATATAAAAATCTCAATATCTTACTGCTAATTTTTAATAGCATAAGTTCAAGTATATAAAATATTTTATTGTTAATATAGTGGTATTTTGGAGATCAACACTTTTAAATATTCAAAACTCTTCTCAGAAAATTACGTGTGACATCTCTTATCTTACAGCAATGAATCAAAAAATTTAAACATATTTCATGACATGAATAAGTTATAAGGAATTAAAAACATTACAAAAATATTACCTGATGTAAATATATTTCATATGATAAGTCTTCCATGCCACTTATTTATTTTTCATCAAACATTGCAAGGAAGTCTGAGAAGTAGGCCACCTTCTAAGTACAAGGAGAATTGCATATAGTACAGCTTTAACTAGCACAGCATTTCATTCAAGAAGACTGCTTCAAGACTTCATTTAAAATTATCAGGGGCACATTATCTGGGTACACAACAAGAAGCAATTATTGGTTTAATTAGCCAGCATTCACCACATCGCCCTCTTTCTCTTTGTTCGATTGCCAGGCAATTTTCTACAATCATTAAGCAAGGGAACTATAATTCCACAATGACCTAATCTCAGCTCTTTCTTATCACATTGGAATATTTTAAAGTTATTTATGACTGTCCTCAATAAGAACTAAGTCCATTGGGCAGAGAACACTTCAGGCTTAAAAATTCAAAATTCTTTGTCATATTCTAAATCTTTATTATATTTAATAATCGATTATGTTTTTATTTGCATAGATACTTGCCATGAAATTAATAATATTCTATTGAAAGTCAGTATATATGCTCTCTCTAAAAATTTTTAAATACTTAAAAATGATTTTTATGCAAGTGATTTATATATCATCTTTTACAAGTATGTGTGTGTGTGTGTGTGTGAGTAAATATTGTAAAACTGAATTTTAAAAAGTGAAGAAACTTTATAACTTGCTGAAAACCAAAACTAGATAAATAGACATTCTCTAAAATGTTTTTATTAGTGGTCAACTTTTACAGGTGATCAAGTGAAAGTTTTGCTCAAAACGTTAACCATTAATTAAGATGAATTCCTAAAATTTGTTTGAATGAGAACTTCCCAGTCTGGCATTGAAAAATAAAGACAAGTTAAAGAGTTAAAACTCTTTCCTTTGTAAGACCATACTGAAACAGCTGTCTCTGTGGTGTAAGAAGACCCAGTAGAGAATCTGGAAACAGTAAAAACCTGTGTTATATATTAAATTTAAAAAAAGATGACAAAAAATGAATGTTCCTGTATAAAAGTTTTACATAAATATTACTGTACTCTAAATATTTATGTGACATTTATAAATATTTACTTTGGAGATATTTTTAAATCTGTTCATTTATGCTTTGCTAACTTTTTTGACATGTAAAATAGTGTTCTATAGATTAGATCTCATATCTATACCCTAGATATGATATAATTTATTCAGTCTCTCCCATATGACAAATATTTGGGTTGTTTTCACTACTCCATTTAATATATTCCTAATTTTTAGACACAAATGTAATAAATTATTTGTAGAATGTTATTTAGTACTTAGAAACAGTCTCAGAGTTTCTCAGTATAATATGTGAATTTTTAAATATTTTTCCTTTTAATATTAACTCATATTATTATTAGAAACTAATTAGGACCTCAGGATCTTTAATTGACAATATTGAATACAGTTAGCCAATTTAAAAAATGCTTGAAAAAATGTATATTTTGTCTTTAGTATACATTTTATACTATACAATATATAAATATATTCTATACATGTACTATACAATATATGTGTCAGTCTTGTTATTAAGAACACGTCATGTAGATTTTAAATTGTTCACATATTCTATGTTCTTATTTACTTTCCACCTATGAAATATGTTCATTTTTAAGGTATTAAAAGAAAACACTATGATGCTGGATTCATTAATTTTCCTTACATTTTGAAGAGCTATTTTATTTTATTAATATTTTACCATTTGTTATTTTTTTACCTTTACTTCTAGATGCAGTACTTGTAAAAAGCATATAGTTTTTTATTTTGTTTTGTTTTGTTTTAATCCTAAGCATCTAGTCTACTAATGTGTTGTCATTTTTTCTAATTCATGCCATCTCATTTTATGTGTTTCATTTGGCAAAACTTCTTGATCTTTCCCCCCCTTTTTATCTATTCTTTCCTCCCTTTCTTTCTTCCTCTTTTGTCTTCCAACTATCTTTTAAGATAGAATGAGCGTTTTTTTCCATCCTACCTTTATTTATTCAGTAGCTGTATGTTTCACTTGTGATCTTCTGTCACCCTAAAATTTTTATTACTCATATTTGAAAAATATAGATTTGCATCTAGTGTCAATAATTACCATAGAGGACTAAACAAAGTCTTTGAAGATATTTACCATTTTTTTCTTAATTTCCAGAGTTATAAACAAAACTTTGCAAAACTTATTCAATTATTAATGTAAATCTTCAGAAGTTCAGATTCTTCTCTGTAACATGGACATAATACTAATGACATTATAAGATTTTTACGACAATCAAGATAGCAGGTAGTTGTCCTATGTTAATAACCTGGAACATGGTGGATGGTTAGCAAATGATATATCTTTTCTCACTTTAAAAAAAAATGCTTCTATTTTACTATTATGGAGTTATGGGCATCATGTTTGTCCAATAGAGTACAGCGTTACACTACTAGTATGCTAAAGTTGGACTTCACTCTTCGAAATTAATCATCTTAATATATTTTTCTACTGTACAGAATAAGTTCATGTAAACAAAAGTAATTGTGATATTCCACTGATCTTTTATAAGGACAATAATATCAAAATTATGAAGGTTTTTAGAATATTAAATCAGCTAATTTGTGTATAAATCTATAGGTCAGTATCTGGCACACAGTGTGTATTTGAAAAATAGTAACTATAGTAATGTTTTTATTATCATTACATTATTTAAAATGTTATTTTAAAGCATGATTTTTCAGGTTTCTGAGCTGTAGACATTGCTACATATAAGATAATATTTGCTATTTAAAGCTCTAACACCATCAAGTGTGTTAATAATAGGTATAAAGAAAACCAACACAGCAAGATCCACATAATATCCAAGGTGCAGATGTTCCTTCTAAATAATCAAGAAAAAATTACATGAATGAGAAAGAGAGAGGAGACACTCAATTAAGGAGGCACATGAGACAGAAAGAGGTCTACTTCTTAGGTCAAGACAACTAGATTAGATTTCCGCTATCTTGTTTTCATATTTTGTGCATGACAAATTGATATTCTAGGACATAAAATTTTGCTGTTCACAGAAGCTGGAGAGGAAGTGTAACCTTTGAAGCAGGTGTTCAGAGAGATAAAATATTTGAGAGCGACAGCTCCCACTGGACAGCATATAAAGTCGTTTTTTTAAAAAGTCCTAAATGACTAGTCCAGCTTGAGAATAGGATATTCTAGCCCGAATGATATTTGGATACAAAAATGGTTAAAACTTAACATCTCAAAACACCATGGCTCAAGAGAATATAATAGTATTACACATGAATGAGAATATTAAAAATATAATGTTTTTATTGAAAGTATTTTAATTAAAATGTTCGTATCTTAAAATGTCTCTTAACTTCTCATTTATTTATGTTGAGCATTTTGCTGTGCATTTTTTATTAACCATATGCCAAGTAAAATATTGCACACTATTGGAAATCCAGTGATTAAAATCTCATCTTTATAATGCACTAGATATGTAAAAATTGAAAGTTAGCTTTTTTTATGACGCAGTGTTTCTTGCTTTAAATAGGGATACTAAGTCCTAAAGATAAGAGTGAGATTCAATGAAGTAATTTGGTCTAGTAGCATGCTTGCCCTCTTTTTGTTTCCTAATAAATCACAGTTTCGACATTCCCCATTCACATCTAAAATCTAAATATTCAGTGAGTCATTAACAATGTGCAAAACCATTATGATTATGCAATCACTATTCAAACGTGCAAATTTGAAATTATTTTATTTTCTTAGTTTCATATGTCTTTCCTGGCATTGAAACAGCCTGCCTTTTCCTGGTGCAGCCATATTCTCATTTGCCAGGTCCAGTGCAATGTGCTGGCAGCACTCACCCAAAACCTTAGCACTTCAGTGCACACTAGCCTTACTTCCAAATGCTTGGTGCATCTCTTTGCCTGTGGGCCCTCTGACCTCTAGACTCTAGTTAACACATATGCAGCAGACAATATATGCTGTGGAATTAATACCCTCCCTCACCACCGCCACACACACTTACACTCAGACAGAACCAATAGAAATTAGTGTACTCTCCAGCTCTCTCTTGGTTCAGGCAGTATAATTCTGACAGGAGTGCTCCTCATTGGCCCCAGAAGTATTTCTAGTGTGACTAAATGCCTTCTGACTTCTCTACTCCTCTTTTTATCTCTCAACTAAGTTGTCTGCACTGAATTTTTGTCATGAGGTTTGCTTCTGGTGAAAAACATTTCCCCGGTTCGGACCAGTGATTGCAAAAACTGACCAGGGATTAAAATTCCAGTTGCCGTCAAGTGTTTCAATCGTCCAGTTATTTCAATATCAAGTCTTTATTTTCAAAAGAAGTTTGTTTAACTTCCTCCCAAATCTGTTACCTGTCCTGTTTCTTTTCAAAGGGTGACTTTGCCTGGAATCAAGTGTGAAAAGAGGAGTCTGATTACATGACTGCACGGTCTTTAAGACAAATAAGGCAGAGCCAGTCTGTGTTTCCAGCCTGACAAAAAGGTGGTCTCCACAAAGCATGTATGTGACTTCTTTGGTGCTCTCCAATAAACTCTCAAGCAACTGGTTCTCTATTGCTGAGGACTCCAGAGTGGCAACTGTGTCTTCTTTTGTCTCTCACCTACAGCATCCTAGCATATAAACCACTCCTTCCCTGTCTCGTGAACTGTTGCCATTTCTGTTCAGCATGGACTTCTGGAGTCTTACAAAGAGCCTCAGGGAATAGAGATGTGTTTGTTTGCACTCTGTCAGTACCCATGGGTACCATTTGGCCTGTGTGTTCTGCATAATCCAGTAAGTCTTTCAACTTCAGACATCTCTGTATGAAAATAAACAGGCACTAGACTCCCCCACCATCTCCCCACCCCAGGAAAACACCAAATTGCAAAAGATATGTGCATCCTTTCTATTTTCAAAGCCAATTCTAAGAGAACAATGTGTGTTCTGATGGGGAGGGAATGCTTACAATTCTGCTTTCTCTGTAGAGGACTCATAGCCACTTCTGTATATTTTTTGTATTTGTTTGTTTTTTACATAGATAAGTTTATGTGAACAGCTGTACAGAATCTGATGGAACACAGTTCCTTAGAAACTCCAGTAGTGGAATATCTAAAATGACAGCAAGTGTTGCTATTAACTTAGAATATGAGATAAAAAGCATTTTTATTATGATTTCTTGCAAATTTTTATTATCTTGTAAACCACTTCTAATCATCAGTACACAAAAATATTATGGTAATTCAATGATTATAGGAGTAATCAGAATGAGATCAGGGACAAGAGGTTAATTTATGCACGTGGATATCTTTTTAAGCCAATGCCCGCTATACTACACAAGGTTTTGTCCCTGCCCCTCTCTCCAGCCTTGCCTCCTTTTCGTACTTGGACAGCACACTCTATCCACAATGTTCCTTTTTGTTGTTGAAAAAAACAGAATTTGTTTCTTCCTTTAACCGCTTCTTATGAAGAATTTTGAACTTCTCTGTGCCTGTATCTCTCTTACAAGATATCCAAATAAATTTTCAATGGCCTTCTCTGCTTCATCTTTTAAATCTTGCCTAAATATTGCCCTTCACAGTCAGTATCATCATATACTGTTTACTCATAACACTCATAATTAAATATCATTCATGTTTTGTTTATTATATTTTTCTTCTTATGAGATTATAAATTCCACTTGCTAAATTCCTAGTGCCTAGAACAATATAGTGCAGTTCCGTACATATTTGAAAAAGAGAAGAAATCACAAATGAACGAAACAAAGTCTTGTTAAAATTAATTGTTTCCGTAAGTTAGTTCATTAGAAATATGCGACGTTATCATTATTTTGCTTTATGTGTCATAAGCAGGCACAAAAAGATTAGAAATCGAATAGATTAACTTTCTTAAAGAAACATATAATAGAAGCAATGTAATGTGTCATTTTAACAAAATAAAATAAAAACTTAAATGTTTTAATAGACTCAGTTTTGAAAAAAAAAAACTTATAATTCAAAATACTATTTAGTTTTAATTGAAGTTGGTCATCAAAATCCCAGTATTTGGTAATGATCTTGAAAAGAGAGGCCTCTGAAAATATAAATGTTTATCTTGCAAAATGTACAAATAACTATTCTTGTTAAGTAGAAGTAATAATTTCCCCAAAGATATAAACTCAGCTTTAATGTTAAACCTTGAGAAAAATAAATTTGCTTAATTTTCTGGGTTATTAAAGTAAAACTAATTTGTTGAAATTAAGCCAACTCTAGCTTTAAGCATTTCATGCTACTACTTAGAAAATAAGTGAATATAATGAATCTTATTTGAACAACTTATAATGTATGAAGACATTTAGAGTGCATCTAAATTTACCAGGAATAGTTTTTTTTTTCTCTCCTTCCTCCAATTCTGTATAATGTTTAATGGTGAATAAAAGCACTGAATTTCATTTTTACTTACTCACTTTTGTCATGTATTGAAGGAAACATTTATCTATCATACTACCTGTAGGAACAAATAAACACATCTCTAGATATAAAAATATAAATAAAATTATTTCCTGGAAAAATATTTCTCATTCTTATTCCTGCATTAATTCCACAGATGTTTATTGGACACCATGAATCACTTAGCACTCTTCTAGGGCCTGGGACACAGCAGTAAACAAAACAGACAAAAATCTCTCATAGAGATCACAATTTAGGGCAAACACATATGTAATGTTAGATAGTGACAAATGCTAAGGAGAAATTATACAGCAAGGAAGACATGACTTGCTGGGAAGATGAAATTGTAGATCAGGCAATTAGGAAGAGGCTGAACACATGCAATGTTCAAGTTTTCAGATTACACTCATCTAGGGCACAATATTTAAATCATTGATAATGAACTGGAATATTTCTCAAATTATGTTAATAGATAGCAAAAAGAGTTGGCTTTCTTGTTATTAGATGTAAGACCATACAGGTAGCAAAAATTACTTATATAATAGTTTCCTGATTGGGGTTTAGGTCTTTCCATTATAATTTAACTGCAGAGATTCAGAAGATTAGAGACTTTTATAAAAATGAGTCTCTCACCAGCCCATTGCAGCATTCCCAAAGGATGCTGTGATGTTTAATTTTAGGTGTCAGTGTGACTGGATTAAGAGATACCCAGATAACAGGTAAAACATTATTTCTGAGTATGCTGTGATGATATTTTCAGGAGAGATTGGCATTGGAATCAGTAGGCTGTGTAAGGGGAAGACCAACCCTCACCAATATGGGTGGGCATCATCCAATCTGTTGCAGGCCCAGTTAGAACCAAAAGTCAGGGAGAAGATGAAGGCAAATCTACTCACTCTTTTGGAGCTGGGACTTCTATCTTCTCCTGTTTTCAGGTATCAGAAGTCCAGGTTTTCAAGCTTTTGGACTCAGACTGAATTATATCACCAGCATCCCTGGTTCTCCAGCTTACAGATGGCAGATGGTGGGACTTTTTACTCTCAATCATTGTGGAAGCCAATTCCCATAACAAATCTCCTGTTACATCTATCTATCTATCTATCTATCTATCTATCTATCTATCTATCTATCATCTATCCATCGACCTATCTAATCACCTCTCTCTCTATATATATGCATATACTATATATATATATATATATATATATATATATACACACACTATATATACTATATATATGTGTGTGTGTGTGTGTCTTATTAATTCCATTTCTCTGGAGAACCTTGGCTAATCCATAGTTTTATGGAACACTACAATTGTGGGAATCAAGAGACGTTTATTCATTAAGAGTGCTATAGACTGAATATTTGTTACCCTCCCTTCCCCGAAAAATCGTATGTCAAAATCCTGACCTGTGGAGACTTCGGGAGTTGAAGTCCATGAATGGGATTAATGCCCTTATAAAAAGAGTAGAGAGCTTGCTTCCTCTCTCTCTTCTGTTCACCATGTGAGGACAAAATGAGAAGACAAGATGGTTGTAAGCCAGCCATAAAGAGGGCTCTAATCAAGAAATGAATCTCCTGGCACCTTTATCTTAGACTTTCCAGCTCCCAAAATTGTAAGAAATTGTTGTTTAACTTACCCAGTCTATGATAATTTGTCATAGTAGGTGGAACTGAGACCAATAGTCTATGTAATCAATGATTTTCCTTTATAATTTGCATGTATATGTTAGATGAATTATTCAATTAATCTATATGTACATGTGCAGATTTTTTTAAAAATTGCTACATGAGATGATTAATCATAAAAGTAGCTTTCATATTCTACGTGGTCTATTTAGTAACTAGATTTAAGTGTAATGGACTTTATCTTAAAAAATCAATATGCTATTTTAATATTATTCAGCCTATGCCATATATTAAACAGCATTGTGGCATATAAATTAAATTTTGATGATATCTTGCATCAGCTTTGAAGAAATTTTTCTGTCTCTTTTAAGCCCTAGCTTTTTGCACCTTTTTTTGGTTATCTGAAATGTTCTGTTAATGCAATAGAATTTAAAAGGAACCAAATTTCACAAAAGCAATAGAGATTAGTAACAATGCTACTGAACATGAACATTAAAACTTGCTTCTATCCAATTTGTCCTTTTATTTCTGTATTTTTGATTGGTGCATATCAAGAAAAAAATAGAATTGTACAGGCCACCTAAAATGATGAGGGCGTGAAAATCGAAAACTTGTAGTTTGATTAAAAGGAGAGGATTTAATTGTTATTCCAATGGTCCCTGACTCCATTTTCTTCATTAACTTCTATCAACTAATTATTAACTATATATTTCTATTCTCCAGAGTTTTCCACATTGAAAATATTCATACAAGTTTGTGATTAGTATGTGGGAATCACAAACATAGCTGATTAAATAAACTACAAGGAACAAAGTTAGAAGATGCATCAGGTTTTATACCTGCATGTGGTAAAAAATATTAGAAATCAAAAGACTTAGGACAGATTTTTCTCATGTTCTCTACCAAATTTGTCTTTCCAGAAAAGTCACCTTTTCCTGCAGTATTACAAAGAAAGAAACTAAACTAGTTCAGAAGGTAATATAGAAAAAAATTTCTATTCCTATTATATTACTATAAATATATAATTATGACAATATTTTCATAAAATAAATTTATATAACACTTTAGAATCAAATAAGTGGTTTTAATAATAAGTGCTTTTAATCTTCTAAAATGGTTTAAAATAAGTGGTTTTAATCCTCATAAAATCTTTTGCTGTAATAAGATAGTCTTACTATGCTGACTTGATCTAGATTACACTGCTAATAAATGCCAAATAGAGATAAATTCTTTTTTCATATCAACGTGCTGGTCATGAGTCTTTCACCTATTTTTCCAATTAGTTTGAAGCTTTTCATCCTGGCACCTGAAGTTCTAATCATAGTACTCATGAACATGATCAAAATAAACTCTATGGAGTTGGTTATTCATATTTACTCCTGAGCTCTTGGTACAGAAATCTCCATGATTAGAAAAGTACTACTTAATTAGAAGTGTTGGTGGCATATCGCATTTCATATTGTATATAATAAGAATAAATAAAAGTTATTTAATCAGATAATTGTAAAGTCTCAGGGTGTGATGGACATAAAGGTCATCTTATCCAATCATGCAGTAAGACTTAAGACATATATGCAAGTAAATCCAAGTTATATTAACATACCTGCCCTTTATTTAAAAAATAGCATGCTTTTATTTGACAAGAAACTCTTTAACCTTTACCAGAAGAAGTAGATGGTTTTAGAAAAATATTTTTCATAAATTGAATTAATATGGCATCTAGAAGAAAGATTAGTATTTAAAAGTAATATATAAAATGAAACATTTATCATTTATCTATTATATTTGTGAAACTGTTTGCCAGTTGGACTCTCATTATGTGAATGCAAAACGTATCTTTGCCTTTCCCCTGACATTTGCTCTCTGGTGAGGTATGTCACAGTAAGGTCTGAGCCTTCTGTGAAACTTAGACATGGCATCAATAGACTGGTGAAGTATGTAAAATATACTAAGTCTCTCTTATCCAGTTTGTTTCCATTTTATTTCCTGATAAGTACACTTCAAGTTCTGCAATTTTTTGAAACTTATTCTGCCTCTTGATCTAACTCATTCTTTCTTATCATCTTCCTTAAGACATTAAGCACCCCACCCTGTCTTAACTTTCAAAACTGGCACCTTCCTAAATTAAAAAACTAATCTGAAGCTTCCTGTTAAATGGAAGAAGATTAGTTACGCTTTTTTTTTCTTCCTAATTAATTTATATACTTTTAAAGGTGAGCTTCTATCTTATTGGTAGTGTCCATTTTTTAAATTCAATTTTAGAAGCTCAGAAATTTAGCTGGGGATTGGATAATGCTCAGGTTTAGCACATCTATCTTGGCTTCTTCAAAACACATCACATAGGTAACTTCCCTTTCTGCCTTTGTTGTCATCATTCAAACATAGGTTTTATCAGAACATATGGCTCTATGAAGTAAAGGAAAATTAGGCAAACTGTGAGAAAGAGAGATGTTTAAATTCTTCTTAATCCTACTTCCTTTTATACTTAGTCTTTTGCTTGATAAAATATTCAAAATAACATGTTCATCAAGTCTTTTTTTTTCAAGTTATTAATGTGGTATGAAACTTAAACTTTTAGATTCATTGTGGCATTCAATAACTACTGGACATAATTTTGTAATTATTTTGAAAGCTTTCTTTGTAATACATCTTATCCATTTTAACCATCCTGTTAGAAGTTCTGAAAAGTATTAGGTTTTTATTGTGATAACTTGATTAATTTCAGAGGCTTATACACATTTTGGTATGATCTAAATTTATATTAATATTTTACAGATAATGTCATTTTTAGTCAGTGTATATAGTAAGTAGCCTTTGCCAAAAATAATGTCTTGGGTTTGATTTATTATATTTCTGATTAGAAAGGGAACATATATATCATATGTATGATATATATGACAGATAAATTTGTATGAATTAGTGGGTGATGATTTAAGTTCTGAAGAGACGTTATTAAATTTACTATGCATAGACCTTAATTCAATATTTGATAGAGAAAGTAATGGAGATTTTTGTAGTTAACATATTCATGAGAGTAAATATTCATGAGTGAATAACGGATGTATATATTTCAGTAATAAAAACAGCATTAAAATAGAAAATCATGTTCAAAGAAAATAATCACTTTATATTGTACCTTGCATTACAGATATATTTTGATATCTCCACAATGTTTGTGACAAAATTGTAAAGATACCAAAGACCTCATGGATTTGGTTCACTCTGGAGAATCATATTATGTTCCTCAGATATCATTTCTTAAAGAGTCACCTAAGAAAATAACTTGACAGTAACAAAAGATTTTTTCAGAACAATCTCTGCTGGTTGTTTTTCAGAACAATCTATATTTGTCATTTTTTTTCATTTTGGTGAATAAGAATTACTTTAAAAATAATAGTAAATCTTAAGTAGTAATGCAGCCACCCTCATTGTTGAGCTGTCTAATTATACATACTCTGATATGCTCTGATTTAAAAATTCCTTCTTCTCTACCATCAATTAGGTCAAAGAGTTTATATGTATTATGTCAATTTCTAATGAAATTTGGAGACTATGCTAATCATATTACTTAAGACTCTGACTCTAGTTGGAAAAATAAAGCTATAAGATATTTAAAATACTCAAACCTTTTCACTTCTGGGAAAATACCAGTTGAATTATGTGTTCTTGGCAGCACATCTAAATATAAGAAATGTAAATTAAATGGGAATATCAACTTAATAAACTAAATTAATTAGGGCATGTGAGATAGCCTTCGGAAATTCTATTTTAAATATTGCCAGAATCTTGATTCTTGATTTATTAAAACATTCTAAATAAAATAAAGTGGTAACATAGATATCAGAAAGAACCTCCTTCTCTCTGGGTACACACACACACACACACACACACACACACACATTTTTACAACAAATGTCATTATTTATTTTGATGTTTTTCCAGAAATCAAAACACTTTCAGAAACAACTAAGATATAAAATACATCATAAAATGAGATTTGTATTTATTTCTCACATAAAGTGAAAATATTCTCAGAAGTTGTTTTTGCCAAAACCAATTAATAGGTTACACTTTTCCTATTCTCCTAATAAAGTCATCTCCTCCTGTCTCAGGCTCTAGCCCACTCAGGGCCAGGGGAAACAAGAACAACCACTAGTATTGAGACATGCTGCTGCAGAACTGATTTCGACGCACTTGGCCTCCTCGGTCAACCCCACTTTTCACAAACCAACCAACCAACCAACCATGGCCACAGAGAAACTTTGACTTGTCCAAGTGTCATTTGATATGGCTGTCATACTGCATTAACAGGAAGAGGGGCATGCACCAAGAAACAACCCTGCCGAGG
Organism: Homo sapiens; assembly: GCF_000001405.40. NCBI lineage: Eukaryota > Metazoa > Chordata > Mammalia > Primates > Hominidae > Homo > Homo sapiens. The sequence goes on from NC_000004.12 coordinate 135,561,070, forward strand.
TTAAAACACCGAGACAAAGAAGTTGGAAGTCTGTAGGGCAGGCCCATCAGGAAGAGACTGTGCAGAGCGCCGCAGAAAGAAACTCTGCAAGAATGAGCCAAAGCTGCTGTCCAGAGGTGGAATTTTCCCCTCTCTCTAAAAGCCTCAGCCTTGCTTTACGGAATTTCCAATCATTTAAGTCTGGCCTACTAAAGATAATACCCCTATGTAAAAGCAATTAATTGGGGACTTTAATAAATCTGCAAAATCCCTTCACAGCAGCTCCTAGATTAGCATCTGACTGAACACCTAGGGGTGCCAGCCTAGCCAAGTCTATACATCATGAAGCCATCACAGTGCCCATCAAAGAGCCTATTATACTTTATTTTATCTCTAAATTTTTAACCTGTGAAAATGTGAAAGACTATTTGTTAATTTTGCTCAGGGGGTTAAGGGCTTGTTCCATTGTATCCTGCCCACATTTTCATGTATTCTTTCTCTTTTGGATATTTAGATCAAACACAGATTCAGACATTTTTAGAGTGATGTGGCAATATACTGATTCAAATTATCAAGTCATAGATTTTTTTTTCTTCTTGGTCACTATTTTCATTTGTAGTTCAACCATCATTACACTAAAGCACAAGGTTGATAAATAGATGGTCTTAATGACTAGATCATTTAGAATACAAAGGAACTTTAGTAACTGATGTATGAGACACTCACACTAAGTTAATTTAGAGTAAACTATACCTTAGCAGCGTCAAGTAAAGATAGGGAAAGAAAATGATGAAAGGCTCTTAAATCTAGCTACAAACAGAACAGAAATGCGGAATATCTATTAGCAAATAGGATTTTCGTTGGGATTTTGCTGAATCCATTTGGGAAGAATTGACATTTTACTAATATTGAGACTCATGAGCAATGAATAAGATATATTTCTTCATTTATATAGTTATTATTTAATTCCTTTTCCATAAGTATTTTTATTTTTTGTGCTATTAATGCTATTTTTAAATAATTATTTTAATTACTGGTTGTTCATTGCTAGGAAATGGAAATAAAATTGACAACCATGCATTTATCTTATATCTTGTAAATATGCTAAACTCATTAATTAGTTCCATTCTTTTTTTTAAGATCCTTCAGATTTTCTGCAAAAATTATTATAAATAAAAAGAGTTTTATTCATTGAAGTCTCAGTAATTTTTATTTTTTTATCACCTGATTGCAATGGCTAGAACTTTAGTACAATGTTGAATAAAAATTATAAAAGTAGACATTGTTGTCTTGTTCTGATCTTATGTAAAAATAATTCATTTTTTCCTTAAATAGGATATTAGCTATAGGGTTTTTTTTGGATGTTTTTGGCCAGGGTTAAGAATTTCTCTTCTATTTCTATTTTGATTAAATTTTTGTTCTTTTTTAAAATTAGAAACAGATGTTGGAATTTGTTAATTACTTTTAACAAATAAGATGCTCATATAAATATTCTATCTTAGTTTGTTAATATGTTTAATTACATTTTTGATTTTCAAATACCAAGTTCCATTTTTGGGAAAAATACCACTTAGTAGTATCTTATGTTGTCTCCTAGGAAACCTGTAGGAGAAAATATAAAACAGTATCTTTAAGAGCTTGGGTTGGGCAAGAAAAAGCATCACATGTAAAAGTTTGATAACTTGAACTACATTAAAATTAAAGATTTCTGTTCACCAAAATATACCAATAATATTGTGAAGCAAGTAATGAAATAAAAAATCTGTACTTCTATCCAAGCAAGAATTCATACTCTATAAAAATAAAACTACCAAGCAAAAAGTAAAAGAAAAAAAATCAATTTAAAAATGGGCCAAAACTTAGAATAGGCACATTAATGAAGAAGACACCAGATAGCTCACCATATTTACTCAATAGTTAATTGCAAACTAAACCTAGAAAATTAAAAATACTAATAATACCAAGGGTTGGCAATAATTCGAAGCATCTGTAAAACTCATATGCTTTTGGTGGGCATGAAAGTGAATAAAACATCTGGACTAGTTGGCTCACGCCTGTAATCTAAATTTGGGAGGCAAAGGAGGGTGGATCACAAGGTCAGGAGTTCGAGACCAGTCTGGCCAGCATAGTGAAACCCTGTCTCTACTACAAATACAAAAAATTTAGCCAGGTGTGGTGGTGTGCACCTGTAATCCCAGCTACTTGGGAGGCTGAGGCAGGAGAATCACATGAACCCAGGAGGCAGAAGTTGCAGTGAGCCAAGATAGCACCATTGCACTCTAGCCCAGGCAACAGTGTGAGACTCCATCTCAAAAAAAAAAAAAAAGTGACTAAAACTACTTTGGCAACTTTTTAATTAATATCCACTGAAGTAAAACATTTGCTTTTTTTCTTCACTCAGAAATTCTACATATATTTTACATAACATATATGAATATTTATCTGTTCATCTATCTATCTCTCTAAGGAAATGAGTGCAAACATTTATCAAAACACATTCCCAAGACCATTCATAGCAGATATATTCAAAATATTTCCAGAAACAAGTGAATTACCTTTCAAAAGAAGAAACAATAAAAGAACCAAGGACCAAGGTGTACTATACAATTAAATACAATACAGCAATAAAAATGTGACTGCTTCAGAAAACAATATGAATGAATGACATAGGCACAATGATAAGAAAAATAAGCCATACACAAAAGAGCACATATTGTATGATTTTGTTTCATGAAGTTCAAGACGCAAACCTAATATAGGTGATAGGTGCAGAAGAGTGGCTGTGAAAGTATTTAAGTATCAAAGACATATATATGTTTTCAAACCACAGATTTATATTATTGCAAAATTTTGCAGAATGAGGACTATATTATTTTTTGTAAAAATGAAAAGCTCCAAAGAGGTAAAAACAGTATGAACAATTGTGTGTGGACATTACATTTAATATATGGAAAAATACAAGTGAAAGAAGCATTTAGGTATGAACTATTAAATTACAACTTTATGTAATTAAGTTTAAGTTAGGCAAAAATGTAATTCATTTGGTGATTATTACCAAATGAATTTCACCAAATGATTATCACCAAATGAGTTTCAGGTGGATGATAGTTTGAAGGTACAGACTTGGAGAAAGTGTAGAAATTAAGGATGCCCCAAAGGCTGAGCATCAGGAACCATATCAATGACCAAGCACTGGAACATTTGCTCATAGCCTATAACATCCATACTCCTTTCTTTGCTGAGTCATTGCATAGTGGCTAGGTGTGTGGGGGACAGTGATTCTGAGAAACATCAGATAGATTGAGCAAGGTAAAATATCTGGTCCTAGGCAGTGGAAGTAGGGCTGTGGGGTGAATCTGGTCGCTTACACTTTTAATTGAAGACACAGTCTCTCACCAAGATTACACACAAACAAAAAATTAGAGTATTTGTAGGGAATGGAGTTAGATGATGACATCCTTAAAATATCAAATGTTCACAACAACTGGGAAACAATATAAAATTTAAAAGAGTAATAAAATGACATTAAATTCACCTTCTGTTTGAAATTTGCTTTAACTCTTAAAATGCACAGAGGTTAAGAAGGGAATGCATGTTTCTGGGTTGAGCTAAACGAAACTATTTAATAATTTTACTTTAGAAGATCACAATTGCCTTTTCAAAATGAAAAATTGCCCTCCAGCTTTAAACTATTGACATGATTATAAACCATTGAAAGATAAATGATAATTTAGTGGATTAATATGTGCCTAATTAATTGGCCTTGATAAATATAAACTATTTAGTTTTAACAATATAGAAATACTTTTCCTGAAAAGCATATTAAAAAAAAAAAACAGAAGCTTCCAGTTTATTTATTTTAGTTTTACTCTCTTCACATACCAACAGCTACAACTTTCCTCCCTTTGTGGGGTCCCCAAACTAAGTCTCTTTCCAGGAGAACAGACACATGCCTCCATCAGCTCTGAGGACTCTGAGGGACTCCAGACTGTGAGCTGGGTTATGGTCTCCCATATTAAAAGAGGTTGATAGCTCTCACAGGTCTTTGCCTCATTTATGTACAAAGGCTCAGAAAATTTCTTCAGCATTTGGGACCCTGGTGTTCTGTAGCTCCACCGCCACTGCTTGACTTAGTCAAGTCCTGCTAGCCAAGTCAACGATTATCTAGAGTCCAAATGTCCACTGTTCTCTTACTTTGCTCTTTTGGGCCAACCCAGTGGGCAAGCTGGGCCCAGCAGACTCTCCAACTGAGGGTCAGTCCAGAGTCAGCTTCCAGGTCACTGACCAATCCTGCAGACTACAGGCTTTGTTGTTCTTCCCTGACATTTCTCTTGCTCAGAATCCACAGACATAAACACCACCTGGAACAGGGACAGCCAGAGAATCTATTTTCCCTCACAGCTTTATGTGCCTGCTCCCAACACCCTTTCCACAGAACTGAACGCTGCTTGATGAATAACTGGACACTCTAGGACTCCTGTCGGCCACTTGTACTGAAAGTCAAATCTCAGGGACAGTTGTAAGTCAAGCTTGATTATCCCACACTGTGGGACACTGTGAAGGTTCATGTCAATCTGGGGACCATAGAAAGCACCAACTCCAAAGTTCAGGTCTCAAGAGTTCTCCAAATTCCTCCAGGGTCCATTGAAGGACCTGTTTAGCCTATTCCCAAAGGCAATGCTCCCTGAGGAAGCCAGATGGCAAGGTGGACAGTGCCAAGCAGAAGAAGCAGCAAAGGACAACATAGACATAGTGGAGGAAATCAAGACAGCTTCAGATCTCTGCTTCCCACTGATCTGGTGCTGATCTTCCATCATCCTATTGGAAGCACCATGGCTGGGTAAGTCTCCCAGGACTGCTGGAGGCCTCAGTCAGTTGTAGGGCCTAGAAGTCAACCAGTTGCAGTGGTAGCTTCCTCCAGGATCTGAGGGGGTGGGTGAACATCAGGCAGCATGTAGGGCAGTTTATGGGCTGTAGGGTGTGTCTTGGGGATGCCTAGAGCTGTCAGGCCTGTCAGAGTCTGGGGCTACAGGGGCAAACATGTCTGCCCTTTAATTTTCCCAGTGCCCTGAATGTTCCAGAGTTTTGTAGAGAACACTGTGGTGGGCCTACTCAGCCTTGATAAATACCAGTAATGCAGTATACACCCTTGTCCCTCGTGGCAAGAAGCAGCAGCTTCCAGGGCTCAGTTCATGGAAGCAGAAGAGCTCCTGTTCCTTCCCAACATGGCAGTGGTCTGCAAATCAGTTTCCTCTCTCCATACCTCCAAGGTTTTCACAAACTCTGCTGTGGAGAACTCTTTGCAGTGTCTCTAGAGCTTCAGAAGACCTCCATAAAGATGAAAAGTTTCTTAGCAACTTCAATCTTTCAATCTGTCTAGTATGCCAAAGGTGGGGACTCAGCAAAGGTCAACCAATACGCCATGCCCATATACTGTTACTGTCAGACTTGTGACTTTCTCCTGGCTCAGGTGAAGTTTAAAGTGGTTGTCTTGAACAGCTGGCAAAGCTGATATAGGAAACCTCTATCCTACAGAAGAATTAAGCAGAGCTGTAAGTTCCCTGGAAATCTGTGGCAAAGCAGGCACTCTGAGACGCAGGTTGTCTGCTCCTTTCTTGGGAAGAGATTATGGTAAAAAAACAGCCTTGGACGGAGAATAGCACCTAGGAATTGTTCAGCTGCTGCCCACAGGACATGGGCACTGGAGTGCCAGAGCAGTCTTTCCCTTCTGAGGAATGGAATGTCAGAAATTTGAGGTCAGAATTGTCTTCAAGAGTGGCTCCAAATCATAAAGTTCTTAATTCACATGAGCAGCTTCTACAGTGTCTGCCAGTGTGGAACTGAACTGCAGGGCTAATTGGTAAGGGTTTGTTTCCCATGCAACAGCATCCACTTTCTGGTTTCCAAGAAGTGATATATTAATATGCTGGGGTTTCTTCTGTGCTATGCTTGCTAACCTCTTTACCTAAGAAGCCCATAGCTCCTCAAAAGGCTAAGCCACTCTGCCAATCAGTATGGAGGAACAGTTACAACTGCCGTGATGTGTATGTAGCCCACATGCCTGTAACTTTTGGAGTCAGAGTGGACATCACCTCTGATACAGCCTCATGTTCCCTGAAAGATATAATTTCACCAACGTTCAGATATTTATAATGCAAAGGAAACGTATATTCATATCTCATGAATAAAAAATAAACATTAAATATTTAACAACTATTAAGAGGTATAAATCTAAGCAAGTACTTTTGATAGGTGGATGATTAAAAACTTATCTCACTTAAATTTAAATACTTAAAAATTTTATTAACATAAATTAACTACATTTTGTGTCAAGATATCTTGTTTTCATATTTTAGCATATTTAGCATTTAGAAATGCCAGATGTAAAATTTCTAAAAAAATTAACTTGCTAACTCATAGAAGTTGCTAATTTATTTTATTACAAAAGGATATGGTGCTAATTTACAAAAATTCTAACAAATTATATTAATATTATTAAGAAGAAGCTACAATAGAATTATGATAACCAAGATGGCTTCTGTCTTAGTCCATTTCATTTACCAAAACAATACCAAATATTAGGTAATTTATAAAGAATAGAAGTTTATTTGGCTCATAGTTCTGGAGGCTGGGAAATGCAAGAGCATAGCATCAGCATCTGGTTAGGGCCTTATAGCTCCATCATAATATAATGTAGGGCATCACGTGGTGAGGGACAAGAGCAAGAGAGCCAAGGAACGCTTAGTTTTATAAAAAAGCCACTCCCATGATAATGAATCTACTCCCACAATAATAACATTAATATATTCATGAAGGCAGAACTCTCGTGAATCTACTAACTCATTAATGAGAGCATAGGTCACATTAATCCATTCATGAAGGCAGAGAGATTAGGATTCTAACACATGAAGAGGACACATTCAAACCATAGCAGTTTTTAACTGTTTTATCTCATTTATCTAATTCTAATTCCTTTGTTTAAATACTGTGGCTAGCTCAAGTGTTTGTAAATGTTCAATTATTTCATATTTGTCTTACTCTATTTGAGTTGTTAAAACACAATACCATAAAATAGGTGGCTTATAAATAAAAAACATCTATTTCTCATAGTTCTGGAGGCTGGGGAGTACAAGATCAATGTGCTGGTAAAATTAGTGTCTGGTGAAGTTCAACTTTCCAGTTTATAAAATGGCACCTTCTTACTGTCGCCTCACATGTTAGACAGAGAAGGAGTACTATGGTGTCTCTTTGTAAAGGGCAATAATTCCATTCCTGAAGGTTTAACTCTCATAACTAATCACTTCCCAAAAGCCCACCTCTTTGTGCCATCACATTGGTAATTAGAGTTCAACATATAAATTTTAGAGAAAAAGAAACATTCAGACCAAAGCAATATTTAAGACAACAACTTAAAATCTCACCTATATGTCTTCTACAATATGCAATTTAGATATAAAATTTAGCTTAATATATGAGCTGAAATACTGGTATGAATCTCTACCTTTGAACACGACTATACTAGAAAACAAAATATTCCCTGTATTATAAAAATAAATAAAATAAGAAAGTTATTATTAAAAAAGAAGGTTATTAAGTTTTATTATTCTTCTTTGGTTAAGTTCAGTTTAGAAATTCGAAAGAAAGAATAAGAAAAAATAACTATTATTGTCCCTTGCCTATTATTAACTAAAAATTAGAAAATAGGTGTGATTTCTACAATATTTTAGATAGAGCTTAACAGTTCTCAAAAATTTATAAATTACCGAATAAATGAAAATATTCCAAAATTTATCATAACCTGCTATTAAAGCATACTTAAAATAGATGGTATCCTGCTGGTTCTCATGGGCACCATCATATCTCCAGTAATTTAGGGTAAGAGATTTAGTTTAATTGCTAATTGCATAAATGAAACTGGGTCATATAATTTACTATTTAATTAACTATATAAATACAAATGATTATGCTACATTTTATATTTTTGCAAGTTACTATGTTGGTTATGATACTTCATACTTGAAAAGAATATTTTATTTTTACCTGAAAGGAAATTTTGTCAAAAACTTTTTTTTAAAACAAAATTTCAAATGATATTTTTTCACATGCACCAACTATCCCTCTCTTTTCCTTTTAAAATGTAAAATAAATAGAGACTTGAAGGTTAAAGTTAACTATTATTTCATATGCATGTGTATATAAATATAAAATATGTGTATATATTACATAATACACACACACACGTTTTCTGAAACAGGGTCTTGCTCTTTTACTCAGGCTGGAGTGCAGTGGCACCGTCATAGCTTACTGCAGCCTTACCCTCCTAAGCTCAAGTGATTCTCTCACCTTAGTCTCCCAAGTAGCTGGGCCTACAGGCACAGGCCTCCATGTCAGGCAAATTTATTTATTTATTTATTTATTTATTTATTTTTATTTTTGTAGAGATAAGATCTGACTCTATTGCCCAGGTTGATCTTGAACTCCCAACATAAAGTAATCCTCTTGCCTCAGCTTCCCAAAGTGTTAGGATTATAAGTGTGAGCCATTGTGCCTGGCCCTGATGTTAACTTTTAGTCAGTAAGGAAAAGTAGCCTCTTCAAAATTACTTAAAGCCAAAAGAAATATCATTATAACATGCTAATTTTCATCTTTAATTTGAGAAACAAATGCAACGTATATATAATAGAAGATACATCCACCAAAATAAAAAAATATATTCAGAAGCTTAGAAGTTCCATACTATGTGCTCCTTAAGTCACATTTGATAAGTTTATTATTTCCACAGAGGTATAGTTTGTTCAGCTCTATCTTGACAAAGAAATATCCTGCTTTGGAATTACTGTCTTAATGAATAATTGCACAGAATATAAAAATAGAATATTATCATAATGACAGACTAGGAAGTAACTGATTCATATTCCCCTGTAGCAACAAGAATTCTGAACCCATCCACAGAAAAAAATACTTGGGATTCAGGTAGAAGTTTATAAAACTCCGTGGGGCCCAAGACATAGTTGGGTCATTTCAAGTGTGCAGGTTGGCACCCAAGTGGCTGATCTGCTGATTCTACTTTTGGTTCAAGCCTAGGAACTGCCTCACCCCTAAGAGCTTTGAGCCTGTAGCCAAAATCATCTTTCAAGGGTTTTAGGAGAAATCACACACATTAGTACATTGGTGAAGAGGCTCATCTGTCTGCTGACATTTATCTTGACAGTAAACCTGAAAGTTGCCCTGTGGCTAGGTTCCTGCTCCCCTCAGCTGAAATCCTGGCTCAGAACTCTAAACAAAAAGACACAAAAGGAGACTAACTCATTTCTTTCAGTCCAAGTGTCTAAGCCTGCATGATGGGCTCACCAACTGCCATTCCAAAGCAGATCCTGAGATGGCTCAGTCTCAGCTTTGGTCTTTTTTGCTGAAGCTGGTGAACATTCTGCCTGTACAGGGACCTGCTGAGAAACATGCCCATCTGAGTAACTGGAACAGTCTTCTAGGCTAAAGTCCCGGCCAACTTTCCCATACAGTTCCAATATTCTCGCAATGTCAAACTCAGAGTCTTTGTGAGACTCATGACAAGCCTAGATTTAGAGAATCCTGTATCAATGAGGTGGCTGCAGTGACCACAGAATCAGGAAATACAATAATAGTCAGTCGGCTTAGAATCTCTGGAAGACTCTCTGAAGAAGGACGGGCACAAACAAAGCCAGGCATCAAAGATTAGAATAAATACCTTATTCCTCAATGGGCAGACATCATTGTACATTCACAAGTTTCAGAAACATTCAGGGAAATATGACCTCACCAAACAAAGGTGATAGAGATGCACACAAAAGTAATGACAATGTGTGAATTTCTCAAAGTACTTAAAATACCCTTTTTAAGAAAACTCAAGAAACCACAAGAAAACATATATAGGGTTAATTCAGAAATTTATCTGAGAAATTTAACAGAAAAAAATTGAAATAATTAAAAAGAAATAAAACTCAAATTCTGGAGCTGAAAAATACAAAGAACCAAATGAAATATGCAATATAAAACATCAACAGTAGAAATGATCAATCAGAAGAATCAGTACACCTGAAGGTAGGCTACTTGAAAATACATTATTAGTAGAGAAAAGGCTAAAAATAATGAAGAATTCTAATGAGATATATGGAACAAAATCAAAAGATCAAATATTTGGGTTATTGAAATTAAAGGAAGAATAGGGAAAGACAAAAGGTTAGAAGCTTATTCAAAGAGATAATAATAGAAAACTTTCCAAAGCAGAAAAAAGATATAAATATTCAGGCATAATAAGGTTAAATGTCATCAAGCAGGTTCAACTCAAATAACAGTACCCCAGGACATACAATAATCAAACTGTCAAATGTCAGAAACAAAGAGCCTCTTGAGATAAGTGAGAGAAAAGAAGCAAATATGAGGAATTTCTAATACACCTCAGCGGAAACTTTATAGGCCAGGAGGGAGTAGGATGATGTATTTGGAGTGCTGAAGGGAAAAATATAAAAGTCTGTCAAATGAGAATACTGTGTCCAGCAAAATTATCTTTCAGAAATGAAAGATGGATAAAAACTTTTAAAAACAAAAGCTTAGAAAATTTATTGCTACCAGATATTTCCTACATGTAATGATAAAGAATGTTCTTCAAACTGAAAGAAAAAGATGCTAAAATGATTGTTATTTTAATACTGAAATCATGGTGCAAGCATTCTAATACTGAAAAACTACAAATATTATCAGTATGAAGACAAAAAGTTCAAACTAATAAAAAATAAAAATAACTATGGTAATTTGTTAAGAAATAGGCTATGTAAAATTACAAATTGTGATATTAAAATTTCCTAACGTAGGGGGAGAATAAACAAAGTGTACAGCTTTTTGCTTGTTTATTTTCTTTCCTTTGAGATTAAAGTTAAGTTGTTATCAGTTTATACAAGTATCAATTTATACAAGGAAAAGTCTGTACAAATACAAAAGCTTGTTATAATTGTAGAACACATTTTGTAAGTCTCACTGTAACCACAAAGCAAAACCTAGAGTGTATGCAGTAAACATAAAAAGCAAAGAATAAAAACATACTACTAGAGAAAAATTAGTTAACCACAAATGAAGACTAAGAAAAAAAGAAAAAGAGGATCTGTAAAGCAACAAGAAAACAAGTAACAAAATGGCAGTAGTAAGCCCTTAACTATCAATAATTACCATAACTGTAAATTGATTAAGATCTTCAATTAAAAGATTGAATGGAAAAAAAAAACAAGACCTAACTATAAGCTACCTGCAAAAAATTCACTCATTCTGTAAACAGACTGAAAGTGAAAAGCAAGATATACAAAAATCCTTGAAAATTGAAATAAAAAAGAACTGTGGTCTCTATATGTATATCAAATAATATAAACATTAAGCCAAAAAATGTAAAAAAGAGAAGCGGCCATTATTTAAAAATTAAGGGGTAATAAAAAGAGTTTAACAATTATAAATAAATGTGTGAGAGATAAGAGTACCTGAATGTATAAAGCAAACACAACAATACCCCAGAGATATTGCAGGTTCACTTCCAAATCACCACGGTAAAAGAAATATCACAATAAAGTGAGAAACACAATTTTTTATTACCCGCTACATTTAAAAGTTATATTTGCACTGTACTCTATTAATTGTGAAATAATACTATGTTTACAAAAATAATGTACATGTTTTAATTAAAAATACTTTATTGCTAAAAAGTTGTATTGATCATTTTACCATTGAATTAATTGTAATTTTATTTTGCTGGTGAAAAGATCTTGTCTTGATGCTGATGGCTAAATATTTCTTTGATCACATTTGTTTTTGCAGAAGATTGGAGTGGCTGTGGAAACTTCTTAAAATAATACAATAATAAAGTTTGCCACATCAATCAAATCTTTCATTATGAAAGTTTCCTCTGTAGAAAGCAATGTTGTTTGATAGTAGTTTATCCACAGTAGAACATTTTTTAAAAATTGATGTTAACCTCAAAACCTTCTGCTTTTTTATTAACCAAGTTTATGTAATATTTAACATCCTTTGTTTTAGCCATGTTCAGAGCATTTTCTCCAGGAGTAGATTGCATCTCATGAAACCGCATTCTTTCCTCATCCATAGTTACAACTCCTCATCCATTAAAGTTTTATCACCAGATTGCAGCAATTCACTCACACCTTTAGGCACCACTTCTCATTCTAGCTTTCTTGCTTATTCCCATCATATTTGCAGTTAGTTTCTCCACTGAAGTCTTGAATCCCTCTAAGTCACCCATGAGGGTTGGAATAAACATCTTACAAGCTTATATTAATTTTGATATTTTGACACCCTCCCATAAGTCCAAAGTATTCTGAAGGACATCTATAATGGTAAATGCTTTCCAGCAGGTATTCAGTTTACTTTCACCAGATCTGTCAGAGAAATCACTCTTTGTGGCAGCCATAGCATTAGGAAAAAATGTATTTCTTAAATAATAAGACTTCAAAGTCTAAATTGCCCCTTGATCCATGTAGTAGCAGAATAAATGCTGTGTTATCAGACATGAAAAACCACATTCATCTTGTAATACTCCATAATAGCTATTGGATTACCAAGTGCATTATCAATGATAAGTCATATTTAGAAAGAAACCTTTTCTGAGCAGTAGGTTTTTAACAGTGGGCTTAAAATATTAAGTAAAGCATGCTGTAAACAGATGTGCTGGCATCTGGACTTTGTTGTACCATTTATAAAGCACAGGAAGAGTAGATTTATCAGAGTTCTTAAGGGCCCTAGGATTTTTAGAATGGTAAATGATCATTGGCTTCAACTCAAAATTACCAGCTGCATTAGTCCGTTACAAGAAAATCAACCTGTCCTTTGAAGCTTTGAAGCCATGCATTGACTTCTCTTTAGCTCAGAAAGTCCTAGATGACATCTCCTTTGAGTATAAGACTGTTTTGTCTACATTACAACTATATTGTTTGATTTACCATGTGGAACACTATGAATTTATATCAGCACCCAGGCTGTTTTGGTTTCTTAGCATTCAGGTGTTCACTGGAAAGCACTTTTAATTTCATTCAAGAAAAGTTGGGAGATAGCAAAGTTTGGTTCATGCGGTTTAAGGAAAAAAGCCATCTACATAACACGAAAGTGCAAGGCAAAGCAGCAAGTGCTGATGGAGAAGCTGCAGCAAGTTATCAAGACATTTTTCTTGACATTTACAACTTGGCTAACCGCTTGGTACAAGGGACCTAGCATTTGGTATATCTTGGCTTTTGACGTGCCTTCCTCACAAAGCTTAATTGAATTTAGGTTTTGATTTAAAGTGAGTGACATGTGACTTTGTCTTTTTTTTTTTTTTTTTTTTTTTTTTTGACGGAGTCTGGCTCTGTCAGCCAGGTTGGAGGGCAGTGGCGTGATCTCGGCTCACTGCAAGCTCTGCCTCCCGGGTTCACGCCATTCTCCTGCCTCAGCCTCCCAAGTAGCTGGGACTACAGGTGCCCGCCACCACGCCCAGCTAATTTTTTGTATTTTTGGTAGAGATGGGGTTTCACCATATTAGCCAAGATGGTCTCGATCTCCTGACCTCGTGATCTGCCCGCCTCAGCAACCCATGTGACTCTTTACTTGAACACTTAGAAGCCATTGTAGGTTATGAATTGTCCTAATTTTAATATTGTTGTGTTTGAGCAAATAGGAAGGGTCTATAAGAGGGAGACAGATGGAAGAATGACTGGTCAGTGGAGCAGAACACAAACAACATTTACTGATTAAGTTTGCTATTTTCTGTGGGTAAAATTTGTGATGCATTAAAACAATAACAATAGTAAAATCCAAGATTACTGAATACAGATCACTATAACAAATATAATAATAATGAAAAAATTTGAAATACTATGAGAATTAGCAAAATATAACAGACATGAAGTGAGTACATGATGTTAGAAAAAATGGGCCAACAGACATGCTTGATGCTGAGTTGCCACAAACTTTCCATTTGACTGTTTCAGTAGTTGAAAAGTTTTTGCAGTGCACAATAAAGTAAAGCACAATAATACAAGATATGCCTGTGTTAAAAGTCCTAATGGAAGAAGTAGAGTGCAAATCAGTAAGAGTAGGGCACATCAACATTCCACTTTCAGCAATGGACAGATCATCCAGGCAGAAAATAAAGAAAGGTCAGATCAGAGTTCAAGTGCACTCTTGACCAAATGGACAACAGGCATTTACAGAACGTTAGATCTAACAGCTGCAGATTACACATACTTCTCATCAGTACATGGAACATTCTCTAGGATAGATCATTTGTTAGGCCACAAAACAAATCTTAACAAATTTTAAAATAACAAAATTATTACAATGTAATAAAACTAGAAATCAATAAAAGGAGAACTTTGGACACCTTGAAAATACATTGAAGTTAAACAATATGCTCTTGTACAACAAATGGAACAATTACTATTTAAAAAAAAACCTTAAAACTTAAAAATTTATTGAAATAAGCAAAAGCAAAAGCTCAACATACCAAAGTCTTGGGATATATAAAAGAAATTCCATGAGGAAAGTTTATAACAATGAATACCACATCAAAAGATTAAAACTACTTCCAATAAATGACTTAATGCTGCACTCAAGAACCTAGATAAACAACAGATCAAACCCAAAATTAGTAGAAGGAAAGACATGCTAAGGATCAGAGCAGAAATAAAATAGACTAAAAAAATAAAAAGATCAACAAAGCGAAGGGTTATTTTGAAAAAAATGCACAAGATAAACAAACCTCGACTAACAAAAAGGAGAGAAGTAAAACAATAGATAAAACTAGAAATGAAAAAAAGACACCACTTTGCTGCTACAGAAATACAAAGAATCCTTTGAGATTATTATGAGCGACTGTACAACAATGAATTGGAAAACAGAATAAATAAATTTCTGAATCATACAACAAATGCTGAAGAGGATATAAACAAAGTGGAACTCATACACTGTTGGTAAGAATATAAATTAGTAGAGCCATTATAAACTACATTATTGAGGTTCCTCAAAAATTATAAATAGAACTATCATATGATCCAACAATTCCACTACTGGGTATCTATCCAAAATAAATGAAATCAGCATGTTGAAAAGATTTCTGCAATTTAACATCTACTGCAGCATTCTTCACAGTAGCCAAGATACAGAATCAAGCTCAGCGTCTATCAACAAATGAATGCCTAAAGAAAATGTGGTATATTTACACTATGGAATACTATTCAGGCATAAAATGAAAACTTACAGAGATGGCTCTGATTTGTGACATAATGAGTTTAAATAAGATTAGAAAGCATACACTGCTATTCGATTTCTACTATTAATTTGCCATACAGTCCTGGAAAATTCAACTAATCTCTATGAGTCTTAGTTTTCTGTCTTATAAATAGCTGCAGCATTACTTTTTTGAACCTAATGGAATAAATGCAATAAATAATGTAAAAGTACCTTTTAAAACAGCCTATTTTCTAATTTTAATAACAATAATTGTATAATTGCTCATAACTATGAATAATATTATTTGATCTTTTGCACTGGGTTTCCTTTTTCTTCCCCCTCTTTCTCAGTTATGTACCTAGCACTTAATCATCAAAAAAGCAAGTAAGCTCCAAGTGGAGCTTTGGAGTTTCTCAGAATGCTTCTGTGTAGTTTTTATGTGAAGATATTTGCTTTTCCACAGTAGGCCTCAAAGCGCTCCAAATCTTCACTTGGAGCTCCAAAGCTCCAAGGGTGTGGTGGCTCACACCTGTAATCCCAGAACTTTGGGAGGCTGAGGTGGGTGGATCACTTGAGGTCCAGAGTTCAAGACCATCCTGGCCAACATGGTGAAACCCCATCTCTACCCAAAATACAAAAAAATAAGCTGGGCATGGTAGCAGGTGCCTGTAATCCCAGATACTGGGGAGTCTGAGGCAGGAGAATTGCTTGAACCTGGGACGTGGAGGTTGCAGTGAGCCAAGATCATACCACTGCACTCCAGCCTGGGTGACAGAGTGAGACTCCATCTAAAAAAAAAAAAAAAAAAAAAAAGGGAAGTAAGCAAGATAACTCTAGTAGTACTATTTGTTTTTTTTGTATAAAAATTCTTATGAAAAATATTTGGAAAAATCTTCCCCTGAGTAAATAACTCTGATTTAACTTAAAATTGCTCTATGCTATTTTGAGAATTCTGCCAGATTCTGGTAGTTACTTTTTTTTGAGAACTTCATTAATTTACTTGGATAAAACAATATTTATTTTTCAAAATCTGGTGCCGACAGAAACCTCATGATCCAGATTTAAGTGAATGATAACACTGTTGATGATAATAGAAATAACTACAATTGGCCAGGCATGGTTGCTCATGCCTATAATCTCAGTGCTTTAGAAGGCCAAGGATGAAGGACTGCTTGAGCCCAGGAGTTTGAGACCTGTCTGGGCAACATAGCAACATCCTGGCTCTACAAAAAATAAAAAGAAACCAGTTGGGCATGGTGACATACACCTGTGATCTCAACTACTCAGGAAACAGAGGTAGGAGAATTGCATTAGCCTGGGAGTTTGAGGCTGCAATGAGCTATGATTGTGGCACCACATTCCAGTGTGGGCAACAGAGTGAGACCCTCTTTCTAAAAAAATCAAAATAAAAAATGACAACAATTTTCTGAACAGTTAGGATGAGACCGTCTTTATATTGTGATCTTTCAATTTTCAGCCCGTTAAAAGACAAAATACTGAGGCTCAGAAAGATTAGTAAATGTAGAAAAAAGCACAGCCTGCAAGTGACAGACACTATTTAAATGACAGTTATCTTAACTCCAAAATTTATACTATTTCCACTCCATCATACATCATACTTCCTTAACCTCCATTCTTGTGAATGAATAGAATTAAAAAACATAAAAATGATGTTATACAATATAAGATTTATAGTTGGTATTAATGCAATCACTTTTAATCTGTGGAAAAATCATTGTATCTTATAAAGATAAAATAAAATTTGTCAATCTTGAGTACACAACTATGATAGATAATAAATTATACACACAAATATTGTTTCATTACCAAAAGCAAATTTACGACTTGCACCTTCCAATTTTCTTAAGACGTTCAAATCTGCATGTGATCAGTAGGGACCCTCCTAATCTAAATTGTCATTTTTCTCTCTTGGGTGGCTTCATGGGTCTCCTATTGATCTCAATGTTTCCTTTCCTGCTACCTCATTCCTTTTTCCACATATTCAGTTTCAGAGAATACAATAAATTAATGGAAGAGCAGCAGAGTTATATTTTATATACTAAATCAACTCACATCAACTCCTCATGGAAAACATTCATACCTTGATCTACAGTCAGTGTAGCAGTTTGGCCTGGTATGCCTAGGACAGTTTTGGTTTACACTATTTCACATTGCATGCCTGTATCAAAACATCTCATGTATTCCATAAATATATACAGCTACTATGTACCCACAAATATTTAAAACAGAAAAAATACTTGTTTGTTGATTTACGTAGACAACCCATCCCCAAGCCCACATGTGAACTGACCCTGCCTTGCTCCCATCTTAATGTTTACCATTTTCTCCTGTGCTGTCATATCTGCCACACTGTTGATGTCTCTGGAACACATCGGGCTAAATTTGCTCTCATCATTACATTTCTAGGATAGTTCTTCCTTATATTTTATAATGACTTTCTTCTTCCAATCATCATGTCTCTGTTAAAATAAAACCTCCAAAGCAGACTCTTCTTGGCAATCATTTTTAAAATTGCTCTCATCCTGAACATTTGTTGGTTTCCTATTTTCCTTTATTTCTTCTGGCATTTATTAAAAAATGAGTTTTATTTTTATTCTTACTAGCTGTTTTTCAGCTTCCCTCATTATAACATACGCAAATTTATGAGGGAAAGTATTTTCTTTCTTACTCATTAATGTGTCTCAAGAACTGATATATATAGAAGGAGCCAGTCAAACTAGTTTTAAACATGTGTATAATAAAGGATTTAGCAAAAAACAGTAAATTCTAGATTTATTCTGCTGGCTAAATAATCAAAAAGCATTTCAGATTTACATTGCTAAAATTACTTCTGAGTCTTTAATTTTCTTTAACAATAGAAAGTCTTTTATAACACCTTCCAGTTTTTCATTTTCATTTTGTTTTATAGAATCATTTCTTAATGCCATAGTTATTAACAAATATCATTTAAATATTATTTTTCTTGGCTTATAAAGGTCTTTATCTTACAAGGCTTAGTAAATCTAAAAATATACTATTATTCCTATATGGTTAGGTCACTCACAATACCATAATGTGATAATTATGCAATATTCTTGTAAGATTTTAAAAGGTAAATAGTAAAATTTTTCCCAAATATCTATAAAATATTTATTCTTAATTTAATGTGTAAAATATTTCAAGTTGGTCTTTATAACAAATTTATACATCTTTGGAATTACATGGTGTTTCTTTGTTTGGCAATAGTGAAAATTAAATGCTTTTGAGTAAACCCCCCACAGTAAAATACCTAAAATTGCTGCATAAAGTATAACAAACATCATTTTCATTGATTGGTTAGAAGTAAAACTCACAAAGCCTTAGAAGAACAACACATAAAAACTAGAATGGATGATTAAGACAGGCACCTGAAGCTGCCCTGATGATACTGGCTGATAGCAAGACACAGAGCCTTAAAATTTAAAGCTGCTTGGAGACACGAGCCTTTGTGTTAGCTTACAAGTTGAGGAGGGGGAAATGGAACTTAAATACTTGCATGTTGCAGGATTCCTTGAAGAAACACCCTTAGCAACGAGTAGGCTGGAAGATATCTGTTTGCAAGGAAATGGCGAAAATAAGCTAAGTGTAAATTTCATAATTGTTTCTAGATTGGAAAGAAAAGTCCCTACTGAGAACTTGGAATCAGGGTATGGTCATTATATTCATGGATTTATGGTTTCAAATTGCAATACTTGCAGAGGCCAGGAAACCACAAACTCAGAAATGAATAGCAAGAGGTTCAGTTATTTTAGCATCCTGGGACACCTGGAAAATGCAAAGTAAAATCAACTGTCCAACTACAGGCCCTTAAACAGGACTACAAAAGATTATGCATCAGACATATGAAAATTTCTCAAAATTTAATATTTTGGAAACATGACATAAAAATTTACGTAGCAGAATTAGAATTTCCAGGACATTTAATGTTAGAATTTTCAGTACAAAATACAAAATAAAGCAAGCATAGATATGATAATAATAATAATTTGGCAAAAGTAAATGAAGAAAAACCATCATTGTATTAGCACCAAAGTGAACAAAAATGCAGTAGTGTATATAAGATTTGAACTGTAGAATTAAGCAGCCTTATGTACAGACATAATGTAGAACTCTCATATACAAATTACCTAAAATACACTCTTCCCAGTGTTGTATGGAACAATATAAAAACCATATATTCATCCATAAAGAAACTCTCAGTAATTTTCAATGTCAGCATTATACTTACTGTAGGTTCTTAATATCGCTAAAAAAATAATTCACAACCTTATAGTCAATATAAAGCAAATTATTAGGACAAAGTAATTTGCTAACTTTTATAGAACAAATATATTTTTAATATTTCTATATGTAATTATGTGTATGTATTTGACTCAGTAAAAGTATAAATATAGTAATCTTATTACCATGATCATATTTGATTAAGTTCTGTAAGATCTACCTAACATATACCAGACCCAGAGATTTTTATATAATTTCCAACAGATATTCATAAACAGATAATTCTACTAATAACATACTATCTCACGGAACATCATAAGAGGAAAAACTAGAAAGACTCCACTTCCCAATGGTACTTATGGAATAATATACCTTGTTATGAAAAATCAATTAAGGGTATTAAATAAAGTTAATCACCAACCAACCTTTCTTATGAACATAAGTGCAACAAATGGTGTTTGTTTTATAGATGGTTGTGTGTCATTTAATGATAGAGATACATTCTGAGAAATACATCCTTAGCCAATTTTATCATTGTGTGAATATCATAGACTGTATTTGCACACACCTGGATTGTATAGCCTACTACACACTTAGGATGTATGGTGCAACCTATTGCTCCTAGGCTATAAACCTGTAGAGCTTGTTATTATACTGAATACTGTAAGCAATTGTAACAAGTATTTGTGCATCTAAACTTATCTAAACATAGAAAAGGATACAGTGAAAATATTATTTAAAATTAGGAATACACTCTTAAATGAAAAAAGTTATAAATGTTTATTGAAAGACATCAATGCAAACCTAAATGTTTACAGCTTTTCAGCAATAGTATGTTCATGTGTGAAACTAATCTATTTTAAATACTGCAAACACTTCTATTCGACCCAAATTATAAAATAATTTATAAACCTAGGCAATTCTAATCAAAATAATAATGATTTATTTAACATTTGAGAAGTTAATTTATGTATTTATAAGAGCAACTGACAAGGATAGACAAACTGCAAGAAAACAAACAATGATGCTTGTGGAAAAAAAGAGAAAAAGATACTTTAAGAGCTACAGTAATAAAAGGTATGTGCTGTTGGTTGTGCTAATAAACAGATCAACACAATAGAAAAGAGGGCTCACATACCAATTCCTAAACACAGACTTAAGATTCAATTGAAATTACCTTGCACTATAATGGGTAAGGGATAACTAGTCACTACATCAGTTAGAAATGTTTAGTTGTCTACTAAAATTATACAAATTCCTACCTCCTACCATGCACAAGTAGCAGTTTCCAATAAATATATGCTTAATGTATAAAGCACAATTAAAAAATACAAATAACTTACAAGGGAGCATCTTAATAAAATGTATTACCAGTAAAGAAAAAGAACTTTTACAAATAAACTGGTAAAACATGATAGAAAAACTGGCTATAACAAAGCTATATACAGAAAAAGTAAACCGAATCATCAATTAGTATATGAAATGAATCAGCTCATGTAAGGAAAGTGGAAACTGAAATACAGAGATAAAAGCTCACACTCAAAATATGGGCAACACTTTGAAAATCTGAAATTTGAAGATCTAAAATGTGGTGCTGCTTGTACTGTAATGGGAAAGCCTCTAAACTGCTGATGCAAATATAATTTAGTATAACCCCCTATGAATACTGTTGGACAAGATCTACTGGATGTGAAAATGCCTTTTACTTAATTACCAGAAATTTTTTACTCTTAAGTGTTACACTAGTGAAATTTTCACAGCTGTACAACACAGGAATGGATATAACACAATAGTAAAGATTAAATGGAACAGAGCCAGACATATCCACATGGGTATAACTAACAAACCAATTTTGAGAGAGGAAAAAATGTAATTTCCAGAAAAATTCAGAGATCATTGTACCAGCTAAAGTTTTAAACATGCAGAAGAATAATCTATTCTTTAGGGATATATTTTACAAAAATATACAGAAACGTGTTGAAAGTATAACTTTAAATATGGTGATTTTCCTTTGATGGAAGAAGCAATAAGAATTCTGAATTGGGAAGAGGAAATAGACATCTGAATATTTAGGTTTAGTAGTGCATATGTGAATATTTGACATATATAGGATGCAAAATAATAAATTTACTAAATAATGACAAATACAATTGTGAGCTGACATCTTAATTTTCTTTCTTAGTAAAAATAACTCCACCATCAAACCACCTGATTTTCACTCGGGGAAGCAACCTTCCTCTATTCTTTTTCCAAGGTGTGTCACTGCCTGGACCTGGACTTATTACATCATCTTAAAGCAGGTTGTACCTTGACCTTTGCTCAAGCAAAGATAATCATTAAGAACTGACATCATAGCATTTCAAATACTTGGCACTTAGCATAGCACACAAAATATTAGATACGCTTATTATTAATTTTAATGTTTTAATAACTGGTAGAGCAAATAATCCTTAAAACCAATTTCCCTTTCTTTTTCATAATTTTCTTACCTTTTCTTGAATATTTTTCTTATAAGCTTCTCACAAACTTTAGAATCTGCTTTTATAGTTCTAAAAGACCATGTCCTGTATTGTAATCTGTTGAAATTCATTTGATTAATAATGGAAGAATGAATGGAATAACGAAATGTTTATGATATTACAAAGTGACATGGCATGCTTGTGTGTTTCTGTTCTATCTCTCTCCCCTTACTGTGATCCAAAAGGTGCTCATGAGAAACTTCTGCTTCCACCCTACGTGCTGAAAACCTGCTGTTTGAAACAAGTATTTGAAGACAAGACTCTCTTCCATTTCTCTGATAGCTGAGCAATCAGATATCTCTTTAGATATCTTTTTTACAACTCTGCTTATTCTTCCTTGCACTTGGCAGCTTGTCCTTGTGAACTGAGAAGAAAAAGAATAGAGACCTCTCTTCATTCTGTTATTTTAAACTTAAAATTATCTTACTACTTCTTGCAACCTCACACACTGTAATATTATTTAATAATTACAGAGAAGTAATAGACAGAATGTATTCCAAAGTGGGGAAATAATAAATACCAAATCACAAATAGTTTCTTCTGGACCTAACGGAGAAAGTTTAATGCTACTAGAGTATGTATGGATATAGTGGTGATAGTGGGATCCAATGAAATACCATCTTGCTCTTCTTCATCTCCAGCATAATCAATGATGTTATTCCAAAGATTAGTGAGCACTATTCAATCAGAATGAATCCAAGCTGGCCTAATCCTAGAGCATGAGAATAAAGTGATTGTATTGGGCAGAAATATGTGAAAGTTGGAGCATCCTTTGAGAGGGTTTGGGGTATGAAGGGCACTCTTGGGTGGTAGGATTTGAGGACTTATTCAGGGACTATTTCTCCTCTACTAAAGTATTTCAATAATGTATCAACCACCATAGCTATACCAATGCCTACTGGATAAATATAAATCAGACTGTGAAATGACTAAGATTCTCTGTTTCCAGATTTCTAAGGTCTTTAATTATTTTATTAACATTTCATAAATTTACAGTTAATTTTGGGAAAAGAAAATGCACATTCATAGATTTCTGCATGGAAAAGGACACTTTAAATTAGCATTCTAAATTACATTTAGTTATGCACTGATATGGTTAGGCTTTGTGTCCCAACCCAAATCTCATCTCAAATTATAACCCCCATCATTTCCACATGTCAAGGGAGAGACGCGGTGGAGATAAGTGAATCATGGGGGTGGTTTCCCGCATGCTGTTCTCATGATAATGAGTGACTTCTAAGAAGGTCTGATGGTTTAAGGGGCTCTTCCCCTTTTGCTTGGCACTTCTCCCTTCTGCCACTTTGAGAAGAAGGTGTCTTGCTTCCCCTTTGCCTGCTGTGATAATTGTACATTTTCTGAGGCCTCCCCAGCCATGCTCAACTGTGAGTCAATTAAACCTTTTTCCTCTCTAAATTACCCAGGTATCAGGCAGTTATTTATAGCAGTATGCAAACAAACTAATACAGTAAATTAGTATGACAGATACTAATCTTTATAGGGTGCTTCTATCAAGATACCCAAAAATGTGGAGGTAACTTTGAAACTGGGTAACAAGCAGAGATTGGAACAGTTTGGAGGGCTCAGAACAAGACAAGAAAATGTGTGAAAGTTTGGAACTTCCTGGAGACTTCTTAACTGGCTTTGACCAAAATGCTGATAGTGATATGGACAATAAAGTCCAGGCTGAGGTGGTCTCAGATGGAGATGAGGAATCTGTTGGGAACTGGAGCAACACTGACTCTTGCTGTGTATTTGCAAAAATACTGGTGGCTTTCTGCCCCTGCCCTAGAGTTCTGTGAAACTTTGAATGTGAGAGAAATGATTAGGGTATCTGGTGGAAGAAATTTCTAAGCAGCAAAGCATTCAAGAGGTGACTTGGGTACTCTTAAAAGCAATCAGTTTTATGCATTCACCAAGATACAGTTTTGCAATCGGAACTTAAGTTTCAAAGGGAAACAGAGCATTAAAGTTTGGAAAATTTGGTCTGACAATGTGACAGCAAAGAAAAACCCATTTCCTGAGGAGAAATTCAAGCCTGCTGCAGAAATTTGCAGACGTAACAAGGAGCCAAATGTTAATTATCAAGACAATGTGAAAAATGTCTCCAGGGACTGTCGAAAGTCTTCACAGCAGCTCCTCCCATCACAGGCCCAGAGGCCTAGGAGTTAAAAATGGTTTTGTGGATGACAGCTGGGGCCTTGGAGCTTTGGGCAGTCCCGGGACTTGGAGCCCTGCATCCCAGCCATTTCTTAAATGGGCCAAGGTACAGCTCGGTCCATTGGTTCAGAGGGTGCAAGCCCCAAGCCTTAGCAGCTTACATATGGTGTTGGGCCTGTGAGTGTGCAAAAGTCAAGAACTGAGTTTTGAGAACCTTCATCTCCATTTCAGAGGATGTGTGAAAATGCCTGGATGTCCAGGCAGTAGTTTGCTGCAGAGGTGGAGCCCTCATGGAGAACCTTTACTAAGGCAGTGCAGAAGGGAAATGTGGTATAGGAGCCCCCACATAGAGTTTCCACTAATGCACTGCCTAAAGGAACTGTGAGAAAAGATCCACCATCCTCCACACCCCAGAATGGTAGAGCCACTGACAGCTTGAACTGTGCACCTGGAAAAGCTGCAGACACTCAAAGCCAGCATGTGAAAGCAGCCAGGTGGGGAGCTGTACCCTGCAAAGCCACAGGGGTGGAGCTTCCCAAGAGCATGGCATCCCACCTTTGCATCAGTGTGACCTGGATGTGAGA
The DNA here is from genome assembly GCF_000001405.40 of Homo sapiens. Taxonomy (NCBI): domain Eukaryota; kingdom Metazoa; phylum Chordata; class Mammalia; order Primates; family Hominidae; genus Homo; species Homo sapiens. The sequence goes on from NC_000004.12 coordinate 135,585,806, forward strand.
TATGAATTCAAAGAAGATCATTTTGGAGCTTTGAGACTTGACTGTCCCACTGGTTTTCAGACTTGCCTGGGGCCTGTAGCTCCTTCTTTTGGCCAAATTCTCCCATTTGGAACAGGTGTATTTACCCAATGCCTGTACCTCCATTATATATAGGAACTAAATAACTTGCTTATGACTTTTCAGGCTCATAGGTGTAAGGGACTTGCCTTGTCTCAGATGAGACTTTGGACTTAGACTTTTGAGTTAATGCTGGAATGAATTAAGATTTTGGGGAACCTTTGGGAAGACATGATTGTGTTTTGAAATGTGAGGACATGAGATTTGGGAGGGGCCATGTGTGGAATGATATGGTTAGGCCTTGTGTCCCCACCCAAATCTCATCCTAGATTATAATCACCATAACCCCTACATCTCAAGGGAGAGACCAGGTGGGGGTAATTGCATGATGGGGCGGGTTTCCTCCATGCTTTTCTCATGATAGTGAGTGAGTTCTCTCAAGATTTGATGGTGTTATAAGGGGCTCTTCTCCATTCTCTCAGCATTTCTCCTTCCTTTTTTCTTGTGAAGAAGGTACCTTGTTTCTATAATATGTAATAGGCATGTAAGTAGTTTCAAAAGAAGACTTGCAAGTCTCAAGTACTATGAATTAAAAATATGCACCATACTCATTAAAATCTAATTTATTGCCAGGCACAGTAGCTCATGCCTGTAATCCTGGCACTTTGGCAGGTGGATCACGAGGTCAGGAGATGGAGACCATCCTGCCTAACAGGATGAAAACCTGTCTCTAATAAAAATACAAAAAAAAAAAAAAATTAGCCAGGCATGGTGGTGGGCACCTGTAGTCCCAGCTACACAGGAGACTGAGGCAGGAAAATGGCGTGAACTCAGAAGGTGGAGCTTGCAGTGAGCCGAGATCGAGCCACTGCACTCCAGCCTGGGTGACAGAGTGAGACTCCGTCTAAAAAAAAAAAAAATCTAATTCATATGATACTGGAATAAAGAGAGCCAGCTACCCATTAAAACAAGATAAACATATTTTGAGGCACTGGGAAAAAATACAACTGAGCATTGTTGTTAGCATTTGTGGAGATTATTCTGTATTATTTTAAAACTACAATTCAAGCTCCATTAAAACACATTAAGTTATAAAATGTGTTTTATATACCAAACAACTGCATAAGTCTTATACTTTGAGGAAGAAAATGAACCATGAAGACATGGTTTATATTAAATCAAAAGGAGCACAAAACTGCCACTTCCAACCTGACTTTTCTATTTCCTACTTGAAAAAAAAAATCTATATGTTTTGATATGAAATGGTCTTTCTGTCTTGGCAGTGGCTTTCCACATGTGATGTGGAAATATGTGTATTTTAAATCCCTCAGCAATCATTTTATTATTCATTTCCACAACTCAGATATTCTGGTTTCCTCTACAATTGTTAAATGATTATGCAAAAAAATGATTCAAATATCCAATATATACTTACTGAAAAATATATATGAGCTTATTACATAGACACAGGAGAGACAAAGTGGATACAGAGGTGACATGTAATGAGATGACTTAGAAAGAAAACAGGTGTTGATTGGCTATTATAATTACTTTTCTTTCTTCATAGTCACATTATGAATCCTATATAAATGTACAGTTGAGTAACAATATGAAAGATTGTCCCAGAAAAAGAGAGGATCATAAGCTTAGGGTAGGAGGTAGAGCTGTTGTATTTGAAAGTATGGGACGTTTTCTTCTACTCTAGAAGGAGACAGGGTCTTGACAAGTTTTTGTGAGTTTTACTCTCATAGTAAGCCCTAAAAATGCTTCTACATCAAATCCAAGTTTTACATTCTTTATTACTATAAACTGCCCAAAAGAGGACATGCTTAGGAATTTTACCAACAATCTCCAAAGAGGTTATCTTCTTCATTCACACCCCTCCTTTTTTTTCATTTAAAATTGTAAGACCATATTTTTCAGGTGAGGACTACTTATCACACAATTCTCACTATCCGATTTATGTTTCTATTCCCTTGGTCATCCCCAAATATTTTATCTATGCATTTTGTATTTCATAGTCTGTCATCAATAGAATCACCTTTTACTTTTCTTAATGTCTCCTTTACTTTTGCATTCTAAGTGAAGTTGGTTCTCTTCTCAGTATTCCTTTGACCCTGAATTCCCGTTTTGAATTAACATTTCTAATTTTCTTAAAGATAAATTAACATAAAACCTGGAATTG